>NC_000007.14:119476475-119779506 GCF_000001405.40 Homo sapiens
ATACTTAGTCAGCTGTTTCTCTTCTGGAAGAGTATAATTTGCTTCCAATATTAAAATAATAGCTTCTTAAATAAGAAAACTCAACTGTAATGTTTCTCTTTTGTATTCATTTCTCCAGGCAAAATAAAACGTAGTTCTTCAACTTTCTTGATTTAGTTTTATTTTTAATCTTTAACCAGCATGGTCACATTCTTTTAAACTGTTTAGATCATTGACAGCCTTTTAAAAATATCATAGCCTTCTTAAAATTAAATATAGTACTCTAAATGTGTTTTTAGTGGAACTCGTGCGATCTTTTTTTTAATCAAGAATCACATCATGTTGTAGATGTTTATCTGTTTATATGTCCTTACTATACTAGACACTACTTGATGACAAATACTTTATCTTAGTTATCTCTGCATAAGGAGTAGAAATAAAGTACTGAAATGTGTTAACATCTTTATATACTATGAAACCATGCTTTCATATTTAGCTCTGATGTTCAATTATGGAAGATGGAGATGTTGACACCCTTTTCAATAAGGCAATGTAAAATTATTCTTGCCATATGTTTTATTATATCAATTGCTTATACTTGTGATGTAATTGAGCACAGATTTGCTTAATTCAGGATGTAAAAATTACTGTTTTGTTATTTAAAAAAAACAAAATGAGTGAATAGAAAAGATAATGGTTCCTAAAACAATCAGTACTCGCAAACCTTAGACGTAGTTGCTTAATCATAATTTTCTTTTTCTGAACATCACCAGAAATGAATTCATTAAAGTTTTCCATAACATTTGGTTCTGCAGAAAAAAACTAACATAATATCCATAAATTTAACAAACACAAACTTTTTATATATGTCTAATTTTGTGGTGTCAGTATTTCATTCATTGCTATTTATTGCTTTCATTAATTGCCATTTTTAAGACTTCCTCCTCTGAGCCTAGATGCTTGTGGTAAACCTTTTCAGTATTCACCATACTTGTACCCCCTCATCTTTAGAACAATAAGAAACTTTCCTACTTAGACATATTGTTCAAATTATGTTTACCTGAAAGCCTCTTGCTTATTTTTAAGGCATCCCTAATTTTTTGGTAAGAAAATTTCTTTTTTATATTTCTTACATTCAAAACTGGCACTTGTTTCAGAATTCACCATTTTGTTATTCTTGGTTTTGGTCGTGGGGGTGCATATTTGCTTTCCACTGCCTTCTCTGTATTCAGTTTTTACATCTCTCTCAGAGCATCAATCTCATTATCTGACGTAAGCAAACATTTTTTTCCCCTTACTCAACACTAATTGTCATCGGGGGAAGTGCTACTACATTTGTATTCAGGAACCAGGAATTCTGATATCCTGTAAATCCCATATTTCTTGAAAGGAATAATACCAATAACAAAGAGGAAGTGGGGCAGTACAAATGGATCCAGCAAATGAGAATGTGTGGCCAAATGCAAGGTAAGAGGGCAACTTAAATGTATTAGGTTACATATTGAATCAATTTTAAAGCATGCAAAATGTAGTGGCACTATCAATAGTTGTTGAGATGAAGTTTTGATTATATAAACTTTATACATTTTTGCTAATATCAGTGTAATGTCTGTGAATTAAAGTCAGCACGGATTAAATTTAGAATAGTAAGGATAAATGTGAGTCTACAATTTTCAAGAAAGAATGATTACATTCAGTATTATAATTTATGTACAAAATGATCATAGATATTCCATAGATATTCAAGATACTAACTATAAGTAAGGTTGTTCTTTATAAAAGCCTATTCATCCAGCTTGTTACTACTATGTGTTAATGGCTGATTGTAGCCAGAAAGAAATAATCTTATATTTATGTATTGGCAAAGCTTACAAGAATGAGCAGAAATAGAGTGGAATAATATTTTGAAAAAATAGTAGCTGTGCCATCCCAAAGGCTACTACATCTCATGAGCAAAACACCAAAAAGTACACTGTACACTGAGAATCAATCTAGTCTTAGCAGGAGGATTCAACAGCTTACAATGGGTGACAATATTTTAATTATTTTCTTTAAAAATATGGTTGGCACTTAAATTTATTCTCAGGTGTCTGTCAGGTACCATTTTTTATAAAAATTCTAGTTAACAATTAAGAAAGGTAAGATAGTGGTTGGGAGTGAATTATTGACTTATGTAACCCTCAAATAAATTATTCCTTTTATCCATATCAGATTGACATTAATTTTTTTCAAGCATTTTGGAGTAATCACATTTAGTTGTATGTGTTGTTATTAACAGTTATGATATGATTTACACATATGGGAAGATTGTCAATTTACAAACAAATACATCTAAAATGATAAACAAATAATTTTGAAAAAAACTATGCATTTCTTAGTTAAGCCTATCTTGGAAAAATAAAAATAAATTTAAAAAAGCATTTCTGTGGTTTTGTGATCTGTTTGGTTTTGTGCTTTTTGTTTTTGAATTGCTTTTCATGTTGTCTCATATATTAATATTTTTATCCCCATGAGCGAATCTCTGAGGTTGTTCCTGTAGCTACAAAATCCAAATACGGTTTTCATCAAATATAGCATCCAAGCCTCTGTGCAGAGAAACAAGACTACTCAATTTCTCGCCTGATTTGTATTTAGCTTACTCAGGAGGTTTTAAGTGGCACAAGAAACCATTGAAAAAATAATTCCTGAAAAAATACATTATGTATTATTTGTTCTGCCCCAAAACGACTTTACTCACCACAATATTAGGGAAGCCACTTTTTCCTTATGGTTTCTTTGACTCTGCAAGACCTTAGGGTATAAACTTTTCTTTAAAATATAGGTGCAAATATAGAAGCAAATACATAAAATGAACAAACATGTTTATACACACAAGAGCCAGAGAAACTGGATACTCAGTTGAAGAACACTATCATAGTTATCATAATTACTTATTGAGCAAAATTAAATAAAGTAGAAAGAATTTTCCTAGATTCTATTCAAGTCAGTTGAATTACAATTTCACAAATGAACAATGTATGAAGTGGCATCTCAAATAAGACTTTTACTAGGTTACACCAATACATTCAAAATAGTATTATTCAATATACAATCAACATAGGGAATATTGATACAATAATTGTTGTACTAAGTCTTTGGAACCGAGTGTGTATTTTACACTTAGAGCACAACTCAATTTGAGAGAGCCACATGTGGGTAGTGGGTACTACATTGAACCATAGAATATTAGAATGTTTTAGAAAATGAATATTCATAATTATCATTTTCTGCAGGTAATTAACAGTAATGCTAAAAGAAAGTGTGGAAGACAAGGAGGTTGTTCTTTTAACAAGGCATATCAGAAGCACAGGGAGATTTTTCAAAGTACATATTACCATGCACTCCCCAAACTTGAGGAAGAACCACTTGAGGGGCAGGAGTTGCTTAGGAGTAAGCATATTAATTTCTACCTTCTTCAACATCTAACATTTAAAAAAATTGCTGGTGCACAGTGTTGCATTTATTAATGGAAGGGTAAAGTATGCTTTAGGTGGTTGTGCAAAAATTCAAGAATGAATAACCTAGTATGAAAACTGAACTGAAAATGTGTAAATGTATATGAACCAAGAAATCCATAGGATTTAGTTGAAGAACACTATCATAGTTAAGAAAGCACAGGGAGAGAAGGGAATTTAGATACATATCAGACATTTTACTTGTATTACTTGATGGGGTCGGACATACATAGTACACAGAAAATCTTATGAAACCCTTGCTTTGCTCTTCCTCAACTATCTGGCTACCCCAATCCTCTTTTCCCCAGTCTCACTACCTAAAACTGAAATAAGCCCAGAAACACCAGTAGCTGAGCTTACATGGGTGCTCAAAAACTCCTAATTTCTCTTCATCTTTTTCATCTCTCCTTCCATAATCAATTCCTTCTTTCCTTCCTTCCTTTTCCTTTTCCTTTTCTTCTCTCTCTCTCTTTTTTTCTCTTTCTCTCTCATTATCTTAACATATCCTCCTGGTCAATCTTGGTAAACATGTAGATCCCAGCTGAGTAATGACATTATCTGATGCCCTTAATTCTCCATCTTTTGTTTCCTCAACTTCATTTATCAGTTCCAAATCCCTCTTTTCTTCTTCTTCAGATAAAAATGTGAGTAATTCACGTTTGCCTGGAGGTATTTTCAGATACAGGTGAACTTTCGGCAAATGTTGTGTCTGGAAAATGGATAACTTTCAGATGAAAGAGTGCATCACAATTGTCATTTAATCCTTTCCTCCTACCATTCGTGGGAGAATTTCCCTTCCCTCCACAGTATAATCTCTGAAATATGTAATGGATTAATGTCATAATGACTACAGCACTCCTCATTGTGGACCATGCAGGTTACCCAAGAGGCATATTAGAGACTTTTGTCTCCAACCTTCCCTGGCTCTGGCCAATCCTGATCAAGCTCAGGGATCCCCTTCACTCCATTTGCTTGCGTCTTTCTTACTGAAGAGAAATGTAAAGAGAAGGAGCCATCCTAGCTTCACAATGCCTTATTTTTCTTGAATGTCAGATTAGTACACTGTTAGCTGATTTGACTCCCTGATGAAAAATTAAGTTTTGTTTTCTTAGCCTAAATCATATTCAGCAACAGTAAGAATTATTCATTCCTGAACTTACACTAACCATATTCAAGTTCAGCTGATGTAGTTCCTGGTTTCCCAATTGCGTCCTAAAACCCCAGGGATATGTCGTGACTATTTTATTTAACAAAAATATAAAGGCAGAGGGCTTTTCACTCTGTTGCTGATGTTGTCTATAAATTGGTCACATCATTTTCAGACTCCAATTATGTTTCCCTGAGCTTTCTCTAGTATAGCCACACAGGCCTGCAACGAGATCAGCCTTTATGCCTCAGATTCCAAAGCAGCCCTTAATGTGGAGTCTTGCACATTTGTAGATAGTTCAGTTCCTCATGCTTCTGTGCGGCTTTCTGCTCTGTAAATGACATTGTCCTTTACCATGAACTTTTCTGTTTTTTAGACTTTTAAAAATGCAGTTTTAGGTTTATAGCAAAATTGAAAGGAAGATACAAACATGTCCTATATAATATCTGCCCTCACACAAACATAGCATCCCCCATCATCACTATCCCCACCAAAGTGGTTCATTTGTTACAACTGATGAACATACCTTGACATACCATTATCACTGAAAATCAATAGTTTGTATTAGGGTTCACTCTGATATTCTATATTCTGTAGGTTTGGACAAATGTATAATGACATGTATCCACCATCATAGCAATATGGACTGGAGGCAGGGAAATGCTAAGTAAAAGAGGGTGGACCCTAGGAAGGCCCCACCCTCAAGCTTGGAACTGCAACCCAAAGTGAGAATTTCACATCCTTGTTTTCCCTCTTAAATGTTGCCTTCTCCAAAAGCACCGTGGCCTGCCCTACTCCCAAGCCTGTACCCATAAAACCCCAGGCTCCACTGGCAGAAGAGCAGCAGAGAAGGAGAGAAGAGAAGCAGCCAGACATCAGAGAGAAGCAGCTTGACAACCGAGGGATGGCTTGATGGTGGGACTTTGGAGAAGAGCCTGGCTGGGGAGGGCCACACTCCAGGGGAAGACCACCTTCCTGCTCCATCCCCTCTCCAGCTCTGCTTCCCACTGAAAGTCACTTTCATCAGCAATAAAATCCTTTGTATTCACTACACTCCAATTCCTTCCTGTGACTTAAATCTTCCTGGAGGCCAAACAAGAGCTTGGGAGCCACAGGGGCAGACAGTTGAGCTGTTTAACATTTAAGCTGTCAACAGATGGCAAAGCTAAAACAGCACTGTAACACACCCCCTCTGAGGCTCCAGGGGTTGCAGGTACCCCCCTAGATGCTGCCGTGGAGCTGCACAGAGTTCTGCTCCTGCTGGCACCCAGAAGCACTAGTCCCAGCTCCTGCACCCGCTCAACTGCATTCTCCCCCTCCTGCCAGAGGTTAAGAACTGCAGGCTGAGTAAGCAAAAATTCGTGTTTCAGTATTAACATTCAAAGTAGTTTCACTGCCCTAAAAATCCTGTGTTCTGCCTGTTTATCTCTGCATGCACCCAGTCCCTGGGAAACACTGTTTTGTTTTTTGTTGTTGTCGGGTTTTTTTGTTTTTTTTTTTTTTTTTTTTTTTTACTGTTTCCACTTGCATTGTTTTGCCATGCCATGAACTTTTAAAATAAAAACATATAGAAATCAAAATTCCTTCATGAGGTAGCATTCCCTAGAAAATACATTTTCTTTTTTTTCTTTACTAAAAGTATCACTTTTGAATGAAAATACAATGTGTTGATATGGTTTTCATTTCTCTCCCCACCCCCCCAATCTCATGTGGAATTGTAATCCCCAGTGTTGGAGGAGCAGTCTGGTGGGAGGTGATTGGATCATGGGGTCGGATTTCCCCTTTCCTGTTCTTGTGATAGTGAGTGAGTTCTCACAAGATCTGGTTGTTTAAAGGCATGTAGCAACTCCCCCTTCACTGTTGCTTCCTTCTGCTTTGGCCATGTAAGACGTGCCTCCTTCCTCTTCACCCTCTGCCATGATTTACCTAGGCCTCCTCAGCCATGTTTCCTGTATAGCCTGCAGAACTGTAAGCCAATTAAACCTCTTTTTTTTTTTTTTTAGAAATTACCCAGTGTCATGTAGTTCTTTACAGAAACGTGATAATGAACTAACACAAATGTCTTGTTAAGACTTTTAAAAAATTATAAACCATTAATAAATGAAGAGAAAAACTTTATTTATTGGAAGGATCCTTTGTATTTATTTTATTTCAAATTGTATTTTAGGTTCAGAGTTACATGTTCAGGTTTGTTACATAGGCAAATTGTATGTCTCGGGGGCTTGGTGTAGATTGTTTCATTACTCAGGTAATAAGCATAGTGTCTCATAGGTAGTTTTTCAATCCTCCTCCCACCCTGCACCCTCAAGTAGGCCCTGGTGTTTGTTGTTCCCTTCTTTGTTTCCATATGTACTCAATGTTTAGCTCCCACTTATAAATGAGAAATGTTGTATTTGTTTTTCTGTTCCTACGTTAGTTTGCATATAACCAGCTCCATCCATATTGTGGCAAATATCATGATCTCATTCTTTTTTATGGCTGCATAGTATTCCATGGTGTATATATACATTTTCTTTATCTGGTATACCATTGATGGGCATTTAGGCTGATTCCATGTCTTTGCTAATCAAAACTCATTTCTCCCATTCTTTCTTCGGAGCATTTTCTCTTATTCTTTGGCATGCCTCAAGCTCACCACACTCCTTGCTCTACTCAGCCCTCTGGGAAATATGATGTAAGTTTTCTTTTATCCATGTTTTTCTCATAAGAAACATTCCATGGGCCTGTTATCTTCTCCATCACTTATCCGTCTACTTTGGACCTTAAGGTGGTAGTAATGAAACAAAGCATGTGGAAATAAAACTAATTTTCTTCTCACCTCTATGCATAAAACCTGTTGTTATACCCAAAGCCAGCAAAGTTGATTTGAGCAATTTTCAAACTCCCTAATGAAGATTGGGACATGTTTCCACAGTAAGAAGAAGGAACAGGATGGGATTGAAGTCTTTGTACTTCTTTAGAGATGTGCATCTATTATGGTTGGAATTGGATCCTGCAAAAATATATATGACTTTATATGTTAAAGTCATAACTCCAGGGCCTCAGAATGTGAC
Source organism: Homo sapiens (assembly GCF_000001405.40). Taxonomy (NCBI): domain Eukaryota; kingdom Metazoa; phylum Chordata; class Mammalia; order Primates; family Hominidae; genus Homo; species Homo sapiens. The sequence continues at coordinate 119,484,149 of NC_000007.14, forward strand.
CTTATTTGGAAATAGGGTAGTTGCAGATGTAATTAGTTAAGATGAGGTTATATGGAAGTAGGGTGGGCCACTAATCCAATAGAACTGGTGTCTCTATAAAAAAGAGGAAATTTAAACACAAACATACACAAGTAGAACATCATTTGAATGTGAAGGCAGATTCTAGGTGATATGTCTATTAGATTGGTGCAAAAGTAATTGCAGTTTTTGCCATTAAAAGTAATTGCAAAAACTGCAATTGCTTTTGCACCAACCTAATACAAACAAGTCAAGGAATAGCAAAGATTGCCAACAGACCACTAGACACTAGGAGAGGGGCATAAATAATGTTCTCTTTCATAGACCTCAGAAGGAACCAATCCTGTTGACACTTTTATCTTGGACCTCTGGCCTCTATAAGTTTCTGTTGTTTAAGCCATCCAGTTTGTGGTACTTTTTTACAGAAACCCATGCAAATGAGCTCCATGGACGCCAGGCTTTAAAAGATAAGTAGCACTCAAATATATTTTTTTTGTTAATTTGTGTTTTTGTGTTTTCAATACTAATTAAACCATATATTGAAGCAACAAATAATTGGAAAATAAATTTATATAGAAAGGAACTTAATTTTAGGAACCAGAAATTTGAAGATATGCTTATCAGGGTGGGGGTCTGATAATAATTGTTTTCAGTCTGTAATTATCCATATAATTTAATGAAAAAATACAGAATGCCAAGTCACAGGAATTTTACTTATGTAGGTCTGTATCAGGGCCAGAAGAAATTGAGATTTTGGACAAGGATCCTGGTGATCTTGATAGAGATGCATTGTTAAAGTAAAAATCTCATTGGAAAGCCACATAGGTAAGGAAGACTATGTAAGGCTACTGTGATATAGGAGAGGAGCAAAATTCAGTCTGAATTAAGCTCTGTTGAAACAAAGGCCTGGAGAGTTTTTAAGAGCTGAGGTTGGAAGAACCTTAAGCCATCTGTGTTTGCTAGTTGGGCTTACTCAAGTGAAAGGTAAAGTTTCTTGTATCATCATGATAGGGGATAGTTTTACTATTTGGAGCTAGACTTGATATGAAGTTAGGCTTCAACTCTCCCCACAGAAACTGGAAGACAGAGGTACTATCTCCATTGATGATTATATTTCAAAGAGATGTCTCCTAGGTCCTTGGCTAAGACATTCATGGACTATAAAAGTCAATTGCTTAATTTGAAAACCCTTTCTCAAAGGGCCAGAGGAAAAAAATCTGTAGTCATCAGATTTCCAAAGTAAATATTTTAAGAAAAGGGAGGCCGGTCGTGGTGGGTCTTGCCTGTAATCCCACCACTTTGGGAGGCCTAGGTGGGCAGATCACCAGGTCAGGAGACAGAGACCATCCTGGCTAACACAGTGAAACCCCAACTCCACTAAAAATACAAAAAACTAGCCAGGCGTGGTGGCGGGCACCTGTAGTCCCAGCTACTTGGGAGGCTGAGGCAGGAGAATGGCGTGAAACCAGGAGGCAGAGCTTGCAGTGGGCCAAGATCGCGCCACTGCACTCCAGCCTCCAGCCTGGGTGACAGAGCAAGCCTGTCAAAAAAAAAAAAAAAAAAAAAGAGAGAGAAGAGGGGCCTCTCTGATTTTAAATTCTCTAAAATCTAGAATTTAGACCATCTAGATTCTATAAAGGCAAGAGTGAGAGGAAGTCCAGAAATCTAGAAGCAGCAAGAAGTCCGTGTAATATTTAGTCAAGCTAAGGGAAAGATTAAGGCCATCTGGGTCAGACCCAAGTTTGAGAAATGCCCTTTACTATAGGTAGTATTTTATTTATTTTATTTTTTTTCCTCCTTCTCCTCTTCCTTTTCCTCCTTTTCCTCTTCCTTTTCCTCCTCTTCCTCCTTCCTCTTCTTTTTCTTCTTTTTCTCTTGGAATATAATAAAAGGATCATGAGTCATAATGAAAATGAATAAAATAAAATCACTTTTTAAAGATGCTACCCTATCAATTTTAACTTTTAGAGTCTAAAATTTATCATAAGACTTCAAAAAATTAGCTAGGTTTTTTTTGTTGAAAACAAATGCATAATATAGTCCAGAAACATTTTAAAATGTGGGAATCATACATGTGTAAAATTTGCATGCTATTTTTATTAAAGCAAAATATTGAGAGATCATGATGTTAACAACATGAATTAACAAGCATGAAAAAAGTATAGAAAAAGTATCTATTTAAAAAGCACACTTCATTCCTGTGCGGTGAAAAGAAAATAATTCAAAAAAAGGCATTAGCTTGCCTTAATTAAAATGAAATAAACCAATCTAGGATTATTAATATGGAACCAATGCAGTTGTTGAAATATAACTGAGTAAAATAAGCATTTATTTGGAGGATAATATAAGGTGTATATGAATGCAGAAGTATGAGATAAGTTAACAGAACACTAAATAATCAAGGAAGTAGGCAGAAAACTGAAATGAGAATGTTATTTTAGAAAGAGGGCAGAAAAAATCTGTAATGAAGAGCATCAGTGAAGGAGGACATACAGGATCTTAAACTGATAGAACAACGGTTGAGTAGATATTAGGGAGAGAGGAAAGTTAGGGAAGTCAATGTTTCAAGCCTGTGCAACGGGATAAATTTTGCTAAGTTTCCAGAGAAGAATCATTTTTATGAGATAATATTTCACTTCATATTTTACATGAACAGTTGGGTTTGAGTTGCAAATTTTCTGCCTAACAGCAAGTAATAATTATGCCTTATAAGCCAAAGGTCATGTAAAACACAAATACAGAAGACATTTTCTATGTCTACCTATTAAGAATTAGAAGAATGGACTTATTTAAAAGAGATGATGACAAAATACAAGTTAAAATAAGACAATATAAGATTTCAAATTGTTAGGAGAATATAAGAAAGAGAATGTCATCGGGTGGTAAAATTTTAAGGTACATGATATTTTAAAAAGTTAATAAAGAGTTAAGTAAAAGAAATAATCACAGAAAAAATAAAACACCTTAAATGGTGCTTAAAGGTTTAAGAGAGAATCTTTGGCAAACCATTACAAATGCTTTGGCTTTCTCAATGACACCATATGGAGATGATAATCATAGTGAAATACTAAGACTCAGGTGACCTTCATGAAATTCTTCTTCAGCAGATACGAACATATACCAAAGTTAGATCCATTTTGGTTATTTGGTGGAATGGATATTTCACCTAATGAAGCTGGAATATTTCCATATGTGTTCCATATTTTAGAGCTTTCTTGAAGAAAAACAATGATTATAAATGTTAAAATTCCCTTAGAATGGTCACTTGAAAACAAAATGTAGTTTTTTAAGACTGGTGTCAAATTAATTTCACCAGATTTGCTCTGCACAGTAAGAGCTGCACTGTTACAATATTTCAAGTTAAAAATTACTCTCAAAGTTTTCTCAAGTTCAACTTTAATATATTTAATGTATTTGAAATGTTTAGTTTCATTTATACTTTAATATTGGAATTAAATTAAAATTTTGAAGCTCATATTAATCATTTAAATGAGAAAAATACTGAAGGACACATTCATTTAAAAAATATTTTAACTTACCACTAACTTGTTATTCATTATTAGCTCTATGTCTCCATTATTAAGATACAAGTCAGAATACTGTGAAATCAACTTGACAAATCTGGAAAATGTTTAGTCTGAAAGGCTGAAATTTTCTAGGTCATAGCTCTTCATATGAGATTAAAACATCTTATAAGTATCAGGAAATTCTGCTATTTCACAGACATGCAATTCAAGATTAAATGTACCTTTAAGGTACATTCACTCTGAAAAATGGTTTGGCAGTTTCTTATAAAGTTACACACTTACTATAAAATCCAGTAATTCCACTCTTAGGTATTTACCAAAGATAAATGAAGCTTATCATAAAACAAAAATCTTTACACAAAGTTTATAGTGGCTTATTCATTATTGTCTAAACCAAAAAAAAAAACTTCCATGGGTGAACAAATAAACAAATTGTGATATATCCATACTTAGCAAAGAAAAGCAGCAAAATACTGAAACATATAATAGCTATGATAAATCTCAAATATATTACGCTAAGTGAAATAGCCAGATTCAAAAGGTTACATCCTAGATGATGTATTACTCTGTTCTCACACTGCTATAAAGACATACCTGAGGCAGGGTAATTTATGGAGAAAAGATATTTGTTTGACTTACAGCTCCACAGACTGTTCAAGAGGCATAGCTGAGGAAGCCTCAGGAAACTTACAATCATGGTGGAAGGCAAAGCAGAAGCAGACATGTGTCCATAGCAGGAGCCGGAAGAAGAGACATAAGGGGAAGGTGACACATGCTTTACAACAACCAGATCTCATGAGAACTCTATCACAAGAACAGCAAGGGGGAAATCCGCCCCCGTGATCCAATCACCTCCCACCAGGCCCCTCTTCCAATACTGAAAATTACAACTCAGCATGAGATTAGGATGGGGACACAGAGCCAAACTATATTCTAACCCCGGCCCCTCCCAAGTCTCATGTCCTCACATTTCAAAACACAATCATGCCTTCCCAACAATCATTCAAAGTCTTAACTCACTCCAGCATTAACTCAAAAGTCTGAGTCCAAAGTCTCATCTGAGACAAGTCAAGTTCCTTCCATCTACGAGCCTGTAAAGTCAAAAACAAGTTAGTTACTTACAACATACAATGAAGGTACAGGCATTGGATAAATGCTCCCATTCCAAAAGGGAGAAATTGGCCAAAACAAAGGGGCTACAGGCCCCATGCAAGTCTGAAACCCAGCAGGGCAGTCAAATATCTTAAAGCTCCAAAATAATCTCCTTGGACACCATTTCTAATATCCAGGCCATGTTCATGCAAGGGGTGCACTCCCAAGACCTTGGGCAGCTCCACTTCTGTGGCTCTGCAGGGTACAGACACCACAGCTGCTTTCATGGGCTGGCATTGAGTGCCTGTGGCTTTTCCAGGTGCACAGTGCAAGCTGTCAGTGGATCTACCATTCTGGGGTCTGGAGGACAGTGGCCCTTTTTTCATAGCCCTACTAGGTAGTGCCCTAGTGCGAACTCTGTGTGGGAGTTCCAGCTCCACATTTCTCTTAGTAGAGGTTCTCCATGAGGGGTCTGCCCCTGCAACAGACTTCTGCCTGGACATCCAGGAATTTCCATACATCCTTTGAAATCTATGCAGGTGTTTCCAAGCCTCAACTCTTGCCCTCTGCACACACACAGGCTTAACACCACATGGAAACATTGGAGGATGCTGACTTGCATCCTCTGGAGCAGTGGCCTGAGCTGTACCTTGGCCCCTTTTAGTTATGACTAAAGCTGGAGCAGATGGGATGCAGGGTGCCATGTCCTGAGGCTGCACAGAGAAGTGGGACCCTGGGCCTGGCCCATGAAACCATTTTTCCCTCATAGGCCTCCAGGCCTTGATAGGAGGGGCTGCCACAAAGGTCTCTGAAATGCTTTGGAGGCATTTTCTCCATTTTCTTGGCTACTAACATTCGGTTCCTCTTTACTTATGCAAATTTCTACAGCCAGCTTACATTTCTTCGAAGAAAATTGTTTTTTTCTTTTCAACCACATGGTCAGGCTACCAGTTTTCCAAAGTTTCATGCTCTGATTCCCTTTTAAATATAAGTTCCAGTTTCTTAGTTTGTGCATATGAGCATATGGTATTAGAAGCAGCCGGCTCATATCTTGAATGCTTTGCTCCTTAGAAATTTCTTCTTCCAGATACCCTAAAACATCGCTGTCAAGTTCCAAGTTCCACAGGTTTCTAGAATAGGGACACAACGCCTCCAATCTCTTTGCTAAAGCATTACAGTGAGCAAAATGTTTGACGATTACTCCCGTTCCCAATAATTTCCTCATGTCGATCTGAAACCACCTCAGCCTGGACTTTATTGTCCATATCACTATCAGCATTTTGTTCACAATCATTCAACAAGTCTCTAGGAAGTTCCAAATTTTCCTCATCTTATATCTTCTTCTGGGCTTTCCAAACTGTTCCAATCTCTTCTTGTTACCCCGTTTCAAAGCTTGTTCCACATTTTCACGTATCTTTATAGCAATGTTCCACTTTTTTGGTACCAATTTTCTGTATTAGTCCATTCTCTCACTGCTATAAATAACTATTTGAGACTGGGAAGTTTATAAAGAAAAGAGGTTTAATTTACTCATAGTTCCACTGACTATGCAGGAGGCATGGCTGGGGAGGCCTCAGGAAACATACAATCATCATAGATGGCAAAGAGGAAGCAAGCACATCTTCTCACGAAGATGGCAGAAGGAAGGAGCAGAAGGAAGAGAGAGAGCAGAGACCACACGCTTTACAACTAGCTCTCCTGAGACCTCTATCACAAGAACAGCAAGCAGAAATCTGCCTCCATTATCTAATCACATCTTACCTAGCCCCTTCTCCAACACTGGGACTTACAATTTTATATGAGATTTGGGTGGGGGCACAGAGCCAAACCATATCATATGACATTCTTAAAAAGGAAAAGCTGTAGAAACAGAAAACAGATCAAAAGAGAATAGTGATTGTCAGGTGTTAGAGGTGTGTGTAGGGTTGAAACACACAAATGCAAAGTGTGATATTTTGCAGTGATGAAAGAGTTGTGTATCTGTATTGTGGTGGTAGGTACAATACTAATTGAATTTTTAAAAACTTAGAGAACTGTACATCAAAGAGAAAGAATTTAACTGTATGCCATAAAAGAAAAAAACGTTTTTCTTTGAAATTATTTAATTGACAAAATCTTCTTATAAGAAAAAAGCTACACTTAAAATGTTTACATGATATATCAGAGAGTATATAAATTCCCTTCTGTTTTAACAAACTCAACTTAAAATGTTAGTGTATATTAAAATGTTCTCCTGGTTAGTATAGATTTTAAAACCAGTCAATACAAATTTGTGGTTACTATATCAAGAATAATTACTGTTTTTTAAATAACCATGGTGTGATACAGTAGAGAGCCAATAATTTATATTTTGAGAGAAATAAATGTATGTTTTAGTTCTGATATGTGGTTATTATATGAAATTTAAAGAATCACTTTGCCTTACTGAGATCTTAATATTTTTTCAAAAAGCATATTTTAAAAATTGACCCATTATTTATTTTAAGATGACCTACCAAAATTTATTAGGTGCTGTATTATGTTAATAAATAATATACATTTTACAGGAATCTCAGAAACTCTTTCTCTATTCCTTTCACCATGAGCAAAAAGTTTGACTTAAGAAAAGGGCAGCAAATTCAATGCAATAACTCCAGTGAAGCCACAGGTAGTGTGAAATGCTATAAAGGAGGAGGGAAATATAAATATTATACATATATAATATTATAAATATATAACATTTAATATATAGCATATATTAAAGGACTAGAATGTGGGCATTAATAGATATTTTAATAATTTCTCTTTAACTCTTAGAGACAACAGAAGCCATTGGAATAGAAGCATTTCATCATAGGAAGGACAATACTGACTGATTGATTGATTGTTTTGTCACACTAGTTGTCCTGTTAAGAATAAACTTTAGAGGGGCAAGGGCAAAAATCAGAAAGGCCAGTCAAGAGGCTATTGCAACAATTCCAGTGACAGATGGTGACTTGATCAGAAAGGCTTATTAACTGACCAATTACTGAGGGGAAGCTGGAGGGAATGGAGAATGGACAAGTTTTGAAACGGTCTGTATGGAGTAAGTGCATGATATTGGAAGGAAAGTCATTGACATGGAGAGAATAGAGTAATATAAGGGAAATAAAGACAGGAATTATCATTAAAATACTTGATGATTGCACATAGGCAATTTGCAAAAAGGAAGAGTAGGAATACAAAGAATACTAAGAGAAATGCAAATCAAAACCACAATGAGATACCATCTCACACCAGTTAGAATGGCGATCATTAAAAAGTCAGGAAACAACAGGTGCTGGAGAGGATGTGGAGAAATAGGAACACTGTTACACTGTTGGTGGCACGGTAAACTAGTTCAACCATTATGGAAGTCAGTGTGGCGATTCCTCAGGGATCTAGAACTAGAAATGCCATTTGAACCAGCCATCCCATTACTGGGTATATATCCAAAGGATTATAAAACATGCTGCTATAAGGACACATGCACACGTATGTTTATTGTGGCACTATTCACAATAGCAAAGACTTGGAACCAACCCAAATGTCCAACAATGATAGACTGGATTAAGAAAATGTGGCACTTGCAAGAACAAAAAACCAAACACCGCATATTCTCACTCATAGGTGGGAATTGAACAATGAGAACACATGGACACAGGAAGGGGAACATCACACTCTGGGGACTGCTGTGGGGTGGGTGGAGGGGGGAGGGATAGCATTGGGAGATATACCTAATGCTAGATGACGAGTTAGTGGGTGCAGTGCACCAGCATGGTACATGTATACATATGTAACTAACCTGCACATTGTGCACATGTACCCTAAAACTTAAAGTATAATAATGATAAATTTTAAAAAAATGTTAAAAAAATGTAAAAAAAAAAAGAAAAGAAAATGTGGCACATATACACCATGGAATACTATGCAGCCATAAAAAATTATGAGTTCATGTCCTTTGCAGGGACATGGATGAAGCTGGAAACCATCATTCTTAGCAAACTATCGCAGGGACAAAAAACCAAATACCACATGTTCTTACTCATAGGTGGGAACTGAACAATGAGAACACATGGACACAGGAAGGGGAACATCACACACCAGGGCCTGTTGTGGGGTGGGGGGAGAGGGGAGAGATAGCATTAGGAGATATACCTAATGTTAAATGATGAGTTAATGGGTGCAGCACACCAACATGACACATGTATACATATGTAACAAACCTGCATGTTGTGCACACGTACCCTAAAACTTAAAGTATATTAAAAAAAGAATACTAAGAGAATACTTGCTAGAAGTGCCAAAAACAGGCAAAAATTGATTAATTAATTAATTTTTAAAAAATAAAAAAAAAAACATCTTCGGAGTGATTACCATTTTGGGAAATCTGCCTACCATCATTAAAATTGACAGACACCCATGGCCACTAACTTAGTTTAGTCAGGTCCAACTGTCAGAATGACATGACTCCTGTCAGTGTTGCCAGATTTGTGGGATATTGGGGCCAACATAAAATGGTTTTCAAGCTTATTCTGAGAATATAGAAAGTTACCAAATAAAAAGAGTAGCAAAGTTTGTTTTTCCCTGAAGATTTCATGAGTGAGTGTTACAAAAACTTTTGAATTCTTTGAAAATATACTAAATCATATTCTGTTCTGTTTGTGAACTGTTTTGAGCCTCTTGGGACCTGTAGGAATTGCTAACAAGCTCTTAAATGTCTCCATTGCACCATATCATTTTTAGAAAGACCAATTTGTCTCATCTTTGGGCAATGTGCTATACACAAAATATTTCTGTTTTATGTTTCTTTTCTAATTTGTCTCAGCATAGCCTGTGAACTATTGAAGTTCTTTGCCCTCCATCAGATAGAAATAAGAAAGCCAAGAAACTAAGTTTCTAACACAAAGTGCAAGGTTTTCCCATAAATTTTAAGTTCTTTTCTGATAAGACGTCTAGCGAGAAGTGAAGGCTATATACAGCTGTTTACTGTACAACTGTTACAGCTGTACATGATTAGTGTAGAAAATTAAAACGAGTAAAATTTTTGGTATTTGCAATATATTTTAATTGTATATAACTATGATATTATTGCTTCTATGATTTTTTTAAGATAGGGTCTCACTCTGTCTTCTAGGCGGCAGTGCAGTGGCACAGTCATGACTCACTATAGCCTTGACCTCTCAGGCTCAAGCCATCTTTCCAAATTAGCTGGCTAACTTTTAAAACTGGTTTATGGAAACAGAGTCTCACTATGTTGCCCAGGCCAGTTTGTAACTCCTGTGCTCAAGAATCCTCTTGCCTCAGATTCCAAAATGCTGGAATTCCAGGTGTGAGCCACTGTGCCTGGCCTACTTCTATCATTTTTCTTTCCCTTTTTAAATTAAACTCTTGGGTTAAAGGTAAAATACAATCCAAAAGTATTTTTTAATAAAAATCATGGATAATGGAGGTAGTCTATATCAGGACACCTGTAATACATTCAAGAATGTAGCCAGAAAAAGTTTTATAGCCTAAACCCTTTTATGAATAAAAATAAAAATTATAAGTGAATGAAATTTTCATGTTAAACAAGATGAGAAAAGAAAAACAGATAAAAAATAAAGGAAAGATAAAGCAAAAAATAATATTTGCTTTATCAATTTATCTAAATTGAGAAACAAATTATATAATTACTAAATAAAAATAATATTTTTTGGTAAAAAATTTTCAAGAGAGACCAATTACTAGCTACCTTAACCGAGGTATATGTATAATAAAGGACAAGGAGGAAGTAACCATTGACATGACATACAATGCATTTAAAAAATCCTACAATCTCTCTGCTATATATTTGAAAGATATAATGATAATTTCCTACAGAAATATAATTTGCCCAAATAGACCCTACTATATGTAAAAAATTTAAATAAGCTAATTTCTCTATTAGGAAAAGAAAAATTTATCACGACACTTCCTCAAAATCAATCTTATTAAGCCCAGATGATTTCAAGGAAGACTTGTATCAAAATTTCAAAGCCTGGATAGTCCCAATGATTTTGAAATTTTTTGCACCTTATAAAAAAGAAAATTTCAAAAAATTAAGGAAAATCTAATACTTTTTGTAAAGTAAGCATGGCATTTATACCTAAACCTAATACAGTTAGAAAAGAAAATTATGGACAAATATCAGTTATTAATACTGATTGAAATGTAAAAATATTAGTAACAGAATACAACACATCATTAAGAAACTGATACATTTTGATCAAGTGTGATTTATTCTGGGAATATGATGTTGATACAATATTAGGAAATCCATTGATATAAAAACCGCATGAATCTTCTGGTTTGATGATTTGCTAGGAGGACTCATAGTCTTATTCATGGCTATCATATACTACAGTAAAAGGATGCAAAGCATATAAGTAAAGGGAAATGTCATATGTGGCAATGTCCAGTGGAAACCAGCTATGAAAGTTTCTAGAAGTCCTTTCCCTGTGGAATCATATGGGCTCTGCTTAATTCCCTCAGCAACAACTTTTGACAACATATATGAAATGTTGTCCACCAGGGAAGCTCATTAGGGATTTAGTGCCTAGGATTTCTATTAGGGGATAGTCATAAGGCACCTTCTGCGTAGCACCTATCAAAATTCCAGACTCCTAGAAGGAAAGAAAAATGTTAGCATAAACCGCATTGTTTGTACAAGCAGTTTAGGCACAGTGAGCCATTCTTATCCATCAGAGTGATGGTAATCCTTCCAAAATCTAAGTTCTCAGCACCGGCCAAGCCTAATCTTTTAAACAGGCCTTTTGAAGGATAGAAATCAGGTCTGCTATGTGTTAACTCTTTCTGCACACCATATTCATACATCTAAAAGTAAAAATCAGCTATTTTTCCTCTATAGAAGATGGAAAGTCCTTTGCAAAATGTATAATTTATTCCTGAGAGATGAAAAAAAGTACAAAATTGGTCATTGATGTTTACTTTCTTAACATGATATGGGAATTTTATATAATCTTAGTCCTAGAATCAGTATTTTACTTAATTCAGAAACACTACTTGTATTTCCTAAGATTTTAAAGAATGTATTGCACTCTTCTTACTAATGTTCAACTTAATAGTAGAGGTTAGCCAATTCCATTAGACATAATGAATCATTTAGAGACATAAGAATCAGAAACAAAAAGCAAACCTATTTACATGTGCAGATGATAAGGTTTTGTAACTAGAAAACCCTAGAGATTCAGTAATAAAACTAAATTAAAATAAAACAATTCAATAGAACAGCAAACATTAAAATAGAATATCTAATACATATACACAAGCAATAACAGGTAATATAATAACACATAAAATCAATATTCAACAATAACTATAAAATACTAAGAGATAAGTGTAAGAAGAAATGTGCAAAATCTACATGAAAAAAATTTAAAAGGCCTGAAAAATATAAAATTAAAATTATTAAAATGGGAAGAAGTCTTTTACTTTTGTGTAAAATGCTTAAACTTTATAGAATACAGCTTAGCTCCCTATAAGTTAATTTATAATATGACTGCAATCTCTGTAATATGTTAATAAGTTTCTTTACATAATTAGACAAGTTGATACTGAAATTATATGTAAAAATAACATACAAAATAAATATATAAAATATACAAAAGAAAGATAATAAACATATAAAAGTATACAAAATGTACAAAAATATACAAGTAAATATACAAAATTAACTTGGAAATACTAAAAAGAAAGTTGTAGTATAGGGGAAGAAATTAGCCTTACCCAATATTAAACATACTATATAAAACCTTACAATTAAAACTGTGCATTGGTGCATGCAGACATACAGTGAAATAGGATAAAGAAGTAATTATATAACAGAAATAAATGCAAGTAAAAAATAAACTTTAGTTTATGATAAAGGTAGAATCTTAAAACACTGAGATGATGAGGAGATTTGTAATGCATGGCTCTGGGATAAATCAATCAATCAGTTTGCCATTTTGAAAAAGATATAATTAAATCCCTTCTCACATTATATAAAATAATAATTAAAATAAATGTAGCATTTACTCTTTTAAAGAAATCAAAGCATTCCAGGATGAGAGAAAACAGAGATGAATTCCTATATAACCCTATGTAGGTAAAATTCTTCTAAGTCTGAATAAAATTTCAGAGGCAATGAAAAAAATTAGTGGAACATTTGACTACATCCCAAAAAAAAGAAAAAAGAAAAGAAAAAGAAAAACTTTGCAAAGCAAAAACACCATATAAGAACACCAAAATACAATTGAAAAACTGGGAGAAAATATTTGCAACATTATTTTTACAATAAAAGACTTTCTTAATTAATACAAATTGAGAGGAAAAGACTAAAAATTTCATAGAAACATAAGGGCAGAGATGTAAACTGACAACTCACAAAAATATGTCAAAAGCTCTTAGACATATGAACATTTAACTTTTCTTATTATAAGGGAAGTATAAATATAAACTGAGATATTATTTATTTTATGCCATTTTAGCCAAGTTTAGATAGAAAGATGAGAGAGAGAGAGAGAGAGAGAGGCTGATGGAGGAATTACAGCGCTCTGTGGTGAGGATATGTGGAAAATGCACTCCCATGAACTTTTGAGGAAATGCCAGTTTGCACATTCCTAAAGAAGGATATTTGGTTTTATCCAAAAAATCTACATAGTATATTACGGCTAAGCAATTTCACTTCCACAAATCTAAGTAAAAGATAGGATATCACAAATTTAAGCAGAAGATAGGATATATATATGTGTGTGTGTGTGTGTGTGTGTGTGTGTGTGTATGTGTATGCAACAATCATAATTTTCTTTTTTTTCTTTTTTTTTTTTTGGACAGAGTCTCACTCTGTCACCAGGCCAGAGTGCAGTGGTGAGGCTCACTGCAACCTCCGCCTCCCAGGTTCAAACGATTCTCCTGCCTCAGCCTCCCGAGTAGCTGGGACTACAGATGCGTGCCACCACACCCTGCTAATCTTTTGTATTTTTAGTAGAGACAGGGTTTCACCATGTTAGCCTGGATGATCTCGATTTCCTAACCTCGTGATCCCCACCTGCCTTGGCCTCCCAAAGTGCTGGGATTACAGGCATGAGCCCTCGTGTTTAAACTATTTAAAATATTATAGTTAAAATTAGCTAAATGTCAAAACAAGGGAGATTGACTAAATCAGAAATGTATACAGACACAAAAGAGTACTATGTAACTGTAAAAAAAAAGAGAAAATTTTCTTTAAGTTAATATAGTATGATTACATTATAATTGTATATATAATTTTTATATGTAGCAGGCTATTTTTAGGTAAAATAAAAGTATAAAAAACTATACTCTATGTGGTGTTTAAAAATGGGAGGAGATAATAAAACATTCTGGTGGCTCCTCTAAAATCAAAAGTGGGAATACTAAGCCAGAGAGCAGAGGTGGATGGGAACATAGTGAAAATAATAGAATGAAGGGGGTAACATGTCAGTTCTCTGAATATACATTATGGTATGCTTCTGATAATTGGAACCATGTAAATATTTCAGGTATGAGAGAGTGTGAGAGAACAAAAATAATCAATAATTATGGCAAAGGTACCATAAATAAAATTCAAACAGAAATAGATGAACCAAACTAAATTCAAATAAATAATATGATCACCCTGGAATAGCTAATGAACTAACCTAACTAAAGCATGAGGATTACATTTGGACTATATATCCTCAAGCTCAAAACAAACACACTTTTAAACAAATATTAAAGTCTAGTTAGTAAGATTTTTGCAGAATTTAGGTTAGCATTTCTGAAATTTTTTATTGCACATTCTAAGATTGAGCAAGCAATTAAATATAACATGAATAATTAGATCTTATTTCTCACTGTTACGGTCGTATTCTAACATTCTCTCTCTCTCTCTCTCTCTCTCTCTGATCTCATCTGTTTATTTGAATTCTGTTTGAACTTTTGGAATATTTTCTATTTATTTCATGGGATATTATTAGTTCTTTTATAGCATTGCATTTTTTATTATTTCTGTAAAATGTTATCTTTATTTGCCATTCCAAGTCTTGTCTTACAGAATCACATTTTTAAAATTAAGAAACTCTCATTTTTAAATTCCAGAAACAAAATTTATCTTTTGTTCATTCTGTTTCATCAACACAGCAATGATAATTCCTTCTGCCTGTCTTTCCTTTTATTTTTTAAAAAAATTACTTGATAAATAATAATTGTACTTGATGTTTTGATATATATTCATCATTTAATGATTATATCAAGCTAAGTAACATATCTAATCACCTATAATACTTATCATTTTTTGTAGTGAGGACATTTAAAATCTACTGTTTCAGTAATTTTGAAATATACAATATATTATTATTAAGTATTGTCAGCATTCTGTACAATAGATCTCAAAATCTTATTCCTCTTCCTTAAGTGAAATTTCTTACCTTTGATCAACACCTCCCATGCCCCTACCTGCCAGCCTCTGGTAACCACTATTCTGCTCTCTACTTTTATAAGGTCAACATTTTAAAGTTCACGTGTAAGGGAGATAATGAAGTAATTGTATTTCTTTTAAACTATTCTGGCCCCTTAACCCACTTGTGAGTTTATCTGAACTTGGTTTCAAAACATGTGAGATCACTTAACAGACAAGAAACTTAGTATATGAGTGTACTGAGATTAGCAGAGGGAAGAATGTAAAACAGAAAATAAGGAGATTACCATAATTCCTTTGACGAGTTGGGGCATCTCTTATGAAGAGTACCCAGTGGGGCCTCCATTCTCAAGGCTAGGCAGTAATGAACCTTCAGCAGCTCAGCACTACCAACTCTCTTTTCTGCTGCTGGAATCAATGAAATTATTTGATTTTTTCATTGTGCAACAAGTAGGCACAAGCATACTCTCTTTGCTTATTGAACTAGTTGGTATAGTTGAGAAATCAGGGGACTTGACAACTTCACTGTGAGTTCCATTGGAGAATTAAAACTATTTCCTGTGTGTGATGTTCCCCTTCCTGTCATATACCTAACTCCAAATGACGATTTGATGGGTGCAGCACACCAACATGGCACATGTATACATATGTAACAAACCTGCACGTTGTGCACACGTACCCTAAAACTTAAAGTATAATAAAAAAAAACAAAACTATTTCCGATTCACTGAGTCCAACTCCAATTTCACCAACCTCTCTTCCTCAGGCACCACAAACAAACGCATCTTACACTGCAAGCTTTTCTCAAGAACGTGAAGTTGTAGTTCCATACTGTTTTTTTCTGCAGATTCTCACAGTCGTCAATGATAATGCAAACAATAATGGATTCCTTTTAACAAGAAAAATAAAAGATTGAAACAAATTAAGCACAAAAATATGAAACATAAAAGTAGGAGAATGCAATTAATTCAACTAAACAGTAAAATTAATGGATTTTTAACTACTGAAAAGTGACCTGAATAGATAAATAAAATAGACAAATACCTAATAAGTACAGAATAAGTACAAAATAAAGAAATGACTGTCAGAAGAAGGGATATATAATCACAATAGAATAAAGACTAAAATATTTGGAAATTTAGAGAAAATGGGTAATATTCAAAAAATAATTAAAGTTAATTTTTTAAAATGTAGAACACCGAGACATATGGTAATGAGGGAATAATATCCTCCATCAGGAAGGTGTTTAGAAATGCCCATTAGTAATTAAGTCATAACTACCATATGATTCTTTTGAGAAATTTAGTTAAGTTTCAAAGAACAGAAATGTTCAATGCTATGCAAATGTTCACAGCCTACAGAAAAATACCAATCCCTCATTAGGCTAATATCACAGGTTGACAAATATAATACATATGCTCTGTAAATACATTTTAGTTACCAGTTTAATTATTAAAAATGAGTAAAATTACACCAAATTGAAGGTAAAAGAGTTTAAATAATATAATTCACCATATTCAACTAAGGTTTAGCTGATACAAATACAAGACTAGGATTGTGCATTTCATATAAAAATATTTCCTATTTCAGATGCCTTGTTAACACAAATTAATCAGTTATGTTATAAACACATAGTTAAGGGCTGAAAATATTTGATAAAAATCAGCCAATATTTAAAACATAAAAGTGAAATTGCAATATAGGAAAAATGTCCAAATATGATAAAGCATCTTTGCCAACATTTAATCATACACATCATAATAAAAGTAAAACATTAAATTCAAGGCCAGGCATGATGGCTCATGCCTGTAATTCCAGCACTTTGGGAGGCTGAAGCAGGAGGACCATTTGAGCCCAGGAGTTGGAGACCAGCCTGGGCAACATAGTGGGATCCCATCTGTAAAAAAAATTTAAAAACCACCTGGGTGTGGTAGTGCCTGCTTCTACTCTCAGCTACTCAAGAGGCTGAAGTGGGAGGATTGCTTGAGATTGGAAGGTCAAGGCTACAGTGAGCCTTGATCACACCGTTTTACTCCAGCCTGGGTGACAGAGTGAGACCCTGTCTCTCTGAGTCCCTTGAAACCATGTCACCTGCTGTGGGGATACCAAGATCTCTTTCCTAGATTTCAGGGAAGCAGGTTATAAGACCAGGATAATGCTATGCCTAAAAGCAGGGATAGTTGTTTATTTTATAGAAAAACATTTCAGGATATTATTTTAATATTTTGGATTGTTTCTAAATTTAAAGCTAAGTCTAAAATCTATTTAGATTATTAAAGATGGAAGTTTATTTCAATATTCTGTATATTTAAATGACTAATATTTAGTGTTACAAATCAGAATTTTCAAGATAAATCTCAATTTCACAGTGAAAAAAAATAATCACTTGTGATTTAAATGAAATTTTATTAGTTAAAAAATTTTCTCCCTGAATCTGTAATAGAAAATAATAATAACAATAAAAATGCGACCACCTTGAATGCATTTCATTTTGACATCCTAAAATCCACACATACAGCCAGGTTTCTTGTCATAGTAATCAAAATAATCTGCCATTTTCATTTCACTACAGTAGGACACTTCTATTTTTATACCTGATCTTCATAATCATTATTTTAATTACATGTATAATATTTTATAGTATTTGTGTACTATGATTTAACACTTAACATTAGATAATTAGATTACTTTGAATTTTCAAATTTTACTTAATACATATTATTGAGTAATATTTTTGTGATAATTTACTTTTGTTTTTGAGTGATTTTTGGAAAATATAGAAAAGAAATAATTATTCATTTGAATTATTAATATTATAATAATTCATTAATTTTCATATCAATAAAAAACAAAGGCTTATGACTCTTGCTAGTCAAGGCCATTTTATTTAACAGAAATGTGCATTTTATAAGCCCTTCTTGAAGTAAATATTTATACTAATTTTAATTTTTTTTAATTATACTTTAAGTTCTAGGGTACAAATGCACAACGTGCAGGTTTGTTATGTTGGTGTGCTGCACCCATTAACTCATCATTTACACTAGGCATATCTCCTAATGCTTTCCCTCCCCGCTCCCCGCACCCGACAACAGGCCCCAGTGTGTGATGTTCTCCTTCCTGTGTCCAAGTGTTCTCATTGTTCAATTCCCACCTATGAGTGAGAACATGCAGTGTTTGGTTTTTTGTCCTTGCGATACTTTGCTGAGAATGATGGTTTCCAGCTTCATCCATGTCCCTACAAAAGACATGAACTCATCATTTTTTATGGCTGCATAGTATTCCATGGTGTATATGTGCCACATTTTCTTAATCCAGTCTATCATTGATGGATATTTGGGTTGGTTCAAAGTCTTTGCTATTGTGAATAGTGCTGCAATAAACATATGTGTGCATGTGTCTTTATAGCAGCATGATTTATAATCCTTTGGGTATACACCCAGTAATGCGATGGCTGGGTCAAATGGTATTTCTAGTTCTAGATCCTTGAGGAATTGCCACACTGTCTTCCACAATGGTTGAACTAGTTTACACTCCCACCAACTGTATAAAAGTCTTCCTATTTCTCCACATCCTCTCCAGCACCTGTTGTTTCCTGACTTTTTAATGATTGCCATTCTAACTGGTGTGAGATGGTATCTCATTGTGGTTTTGATTTGCATTTCTCTGATGGCCAGTGATGATGAGCATTTTTTCATGTGTCTGTTGGCTGCATAAATGTCTTCTTTTGAGAAGTGTCTGTTCATATCCTTCACCCACTTTTTGATGGGGTTTTTTTTTTCTTGTAAATTTGTTTGAGTTCTTTGTAGATTCTGGATATTCACCCTTTGTCAGATGAGTAGATTGCAAAAATTGTTTCCCATTCTGTAGGTTGCCTATTCACTCTGCTGGTAGTTTCTTTTGCTGTGCAGAAGCTCTTTAGTTTAATTAGATCCCATTTGTCAATCTTGGCTTTTGTTGCCATTGCTTTTGGTGTTTTAGACATGAAGTCCTTGCCCATGCCTATGTCCTGAATGGTATTGCCTAGGTTTTCTTCTAGGGTTTTTATGGTTTTAAGTCTAACATTTAAGTCTTTAATCCATCTTGAATTAATTTTTGTATAAGGTGTAAGGAAGGGATCCAGTTTCAGCTTTCTACATATGGGTAGCCAGTTTTCCCAGCACCATTTATTAAATAAGGAATCCTTTCCCCATTTCTTGTTTTTGTCAGGTTTGTCAAAGATCAGATGGTTGTAGATGTGTGGTATTATTTCTGAGGGCACTGTTCTGTTTCATTGGTCTATATATCTGTTTTAGTCCCTGTACCATGCTGCTTTGGTTACTGTAGCCCTGTAGTATAGTTTGAAGTCAGGTAGCATGAGGCCTCCAGCTTTCTTCTTTTGGCTTAGGATTGTCTTGGCGATGTGGGCTCTTTTTTGGTTCCATATGAACTTTAAAGTAGCTTTTTCCAATTCCATGAAGAAAGTCATTGGTAGCTTGATGGGGATGGCATTGAATCTAAAAATTACCTTGGGCAGTATGGCCATTTTATGATATTGATTTTTCCTATCCATGAGCATGGAATGTTCTTCCATTTGTTTGTGTCCTCTTTTATTTTGTTGAGCAGTTGACCTCTCCTTGAAGAGGTCCTTCACATCCCTTGTAAGTTGGATTCCTAGGTATTTTATTCTCTTAGAAGCAATTTTGAATGGGAGTTCACTCATGATTTGTCTCTCTGTTTGTCTGTTATTGGTGTATAAGAATGCTTGTGATTTTTGTACATTGATTTTGTATCCTGAGACTTTGCTGAAGCTGCTTATCAGCTTAAGAAGATTTTGGGCTGAGACGATGGGGTTTTCTAAATATACAATCATGTCATCTGCAAACAGGAACAATTTGACTTCCTCTTTTCCTAATTGAATACCCTTTATTTCTCTCATTTGCCTGATTGCCCTGGCCAGAACTTCCAACACTATGTTGAATAGGAGTGGTGAGAGAGGGCATCCTTGTCTTGTGTCAGTTTTCAAAGGGAATGCTTCCAGTTTTTGCCCATTCAGTATGATATTTGCTGTGGGTTTATCACAAATAACTCTTATTATTTTGAGATATGCCCCATCAATACCTCCCTGGGATGCAAGGCTGCTTCAACATATGCAAATCAATAAACGTAATCCAGCACATAAACAGAAACGAAGACAAAAACCACATGATTATCTCATAGATGCAGAAAAGGCCTTTAATGTGATATTTTAAAAATTAAATACTTTTTAAAATAATTCACTTTAGTAATCCAATTATGTTTATTTGTATTTCTTTGATTATTAATGTTCGCGAGCATCAATGTTATTTACTTTCGTAAATTACATTGGAGAAATTGTTAAGTTATTCATTCTTATGAGTAGGCAAATTAAATACCTAATTGCATGCATCTGTCATTAGCTACATTTTTTCCCAGATGAATTTCTAAAACAAAGATAGAGTAGGAAAAAAAATATCTGCAATACTATTTTAAAATGCCTTTTATTCCTTGAGCACATATTGAGTTTTTATTTCTTAGTTGTGGCATATAAAAATATTTTTTATCTTATCAAGAGGATGCATGTCTCTTTGGGATTAGATCCTTAAAAGAATATGACACTTTAATGAGTATGACACATGAGCTCTTACAAGTCTGATATTTAACAGATCAAGTTAAATTAAATAACAAAGAGACAGGTACCATATGGTAAGCTTCCTAGGAGAAACTACAGTACACTTCTACTCTTATTATAATGATTTCTTATGCTCATTTTTATATAAAAGAAGAGGAAATGAGGAATCATTATGAGCAAAGAAAAAAGTATAGCAGAGAATATTATTAGAGTTAACTAAACCTATCTTCTTCTATTCATCTAATTTAAGCATTTGTGAAGGGTTTATATGACCAGATTACAATAAAATTATATAGAATATAAAAATCTTCTTAGTCTTATAACTCCAGTGTTCGCAGCTCATTACTGCTAGAATTATTTTCTATGATAGAAATCTGCTATAAATATTCACACAAGATCCTTTGTCTGGCTTTAAGTAACGTTACCTGTTTTGATTTATACAAATCTCTTCTCCAGACCTTCTTCTACAATACCATAGAGTCAAAACACTTCAAACTTTCTCTCATTCTCTGAATAGGCTGTACATCAAGTTTTGCATTTTTCATATTCTTAGCATGTCTTTCTCCATCTGTGTTAGTTTCCTATTGTTATCTGTAACAAACTTTCACAAACTTAGTGGCTTAAAAACAACACCAATTATTATTTTACAATTCTGAAGAAGTCTAAGATGGGTCAACAGGACAGCAGTTCCTCTCGAGATTCTAGGGGAGAATTAATTTCTTGCCTCTTCCATTTTCTAGAAGATGTATGCATTACTTGGCTCATGGCCCTGCAACAATTCAACCTCTGCCTCTTTTGTCACATCTTCTTCTCTGAGGCTGATCCTCTCACTTCTCTCTGGGGTTCTTGATTACATCAGGCCCATATGGTGGGATAATATCCATTTTAGATATTTAATTTAATGCCATTTGCAAAGTTCCTTTTTCATTTTCAGTAGCATATTTACAAGTCAGGACATGGACATATTTTAGAAGGCATTATGCTGCCTACTACATCTTTTCTACCTAAAAAATTGGTAGTCATTCCTCCTGTTCCAAGTTCAAATGTCACCCCCTCATGAGATTTTTATCTCCAGATGGAGGTGATGTGGTCTTCCTTCTCTTTCTTCAGGGACTCTAATGGCTAATAAACTTGCCTTCTTTCCTTTTGACCCCTTTAATTTTTCTATTCATGAAGGCTATTTTTCACCAATTTTATTTTCATTAATTTGTCCATCTTGTCTATCCACAGAGACATTTTCTTTTTTAAAAATCTGCCTATCTTATTAAAGTTTGCTATTTTTCAATATAATAACTTCCATGTATTAAAATATGCTATTTTACACCTTACTATTTGAGGAAGGCCAATAACATAAATAACTGAGGAAAGTGGGGCAAGATTGATGAAAAGAAGGCTCCAACAATTGTCCGCCCTATAGGAACACCAAATTGAAGAACTATCCGCACAAAACAAAGCACCTCCATAAGAACCAAAAATCAGGAGTACAATCACAGTGTGTGGTTTTAACATTATATTAAGGAAAGAGGCACTGAAGAGGAAAGACAATCTTGAATCACCTACACCAGCCCTCCTTCATCCCCCAGCAATGGCTGAGTGGTATGGAAAGACAATCTGTGCATTCAGGGGAGGCAGCAAACAGTAATTGTGTGACTTGACGTTGAAACTCAGTACTGCCCTGTCACAGCAGAAAACAACACAGGGCAAAACTCAGCCAGTGCCTACAGACAGAGCTTCTCTAGCCAGAGGAAAATTCTCCATTTCAGTGGTAGGAGCCTGAGTTCAGGCAAGACCCACCACTATGGGCTAAAGTTCTCAGGGGTCTTAAATAAACTTAAAAGGCAGTCTAGGCCAAAGAGACTTCAATTCCTGGACAAGTCCTGGTGATGTGCTGGGCTTGAAGCTAGTGGATATTGGGTGGAGATGACCTAGTGAAACACCAGCTAGTGCATCCAAGAGAGTGCTTGCATCATCGCTGCCCCAAACACAGGCAGCACAGTTTGCAGCTCTGGAAGAGACTCCTTCCCTCCTCCTAAGGAGAGGAGAGGGGAGAATAAAGAGGACTTTGTATTGAAACGTGGACATCAGTGTAGCTACCGAAGAATAGGGTATCAGGAACAGTCTTGAGGTCCCCATTCCAGGCCCTAGCTCCTGGTTGACATTTCTAGACACACCCTGGGCCAGAAGGGTACCTATTGCCTTGAAGGGAAAGATCCAGTCCTGGCAAGATTTATCACTTGCAGACTTAAGAGCCCTTGGGCCTTCAATAAACATCAGTGGTACCCAGGCAGTTCTCACCACAGGCCTTGAGTGAGACCCAGGGCCATGTTGGCTTCAGGGGTGACCCAGCACATTCTCATCTGTGGGAACCATGGGGAGAGACTCCTTCTGCTAGAGAAACAAGAGAATGAATGAAGGGGACTTTGTCTTAGAGCTTAGTTCCTAGCTCAGCCACAGTGATGTAGAGAAACAAGTAGGTTGATGGGGTCCCCAATTCTAGGCCCTGGCTCTTGGACAGGATTTCTGGGCCTGCCCTAGGTGAGAGAAGAGCCTGCTGACCTGAAGAGACAGAATCAGATCAGGCAGGATTCAGTGGCCCCTTAATGAACATTGGCAGTAACCAGGCAGTAATTGCCACAGACCTGGGATGGTGGTGGCCATGGGAAGAGACTCTTCTGCTTGAGGAAAAGGGAAGGAAGAGTGGAAAGGACTTTGTCTTACAGTGTGTGTACCAGCTCAGCCACAGTAGCATAGAGCACCAGGTAGATTCTCATGCTTCCTTTCACGAGGTTCTGTCTATCAGATGGCATCTCTGGACCCAACCAGGGCTGAAGGCAATTCATGTCCCTGAAGGGAAGGACACAGACCTGGTGGAATTTGTCTTCTGCTGATTGTAGAGCCCTTGGGCCTTGAGAAAACATAAGTGGTAGCCAGGCAGTAGATACCTTAAGCCTTGGGCAAGACCAAGTGTTGTGCTGGCTTTGGATCTGACTCAGCACAGTCCCACTACTGGTGCTCACAGGGGTGCATGTGTCACCCATACCCCAGGTCCAGGCAGCTCAGCACAGAGAGACAGACACTTTGTTTGGTTGGGGGGAAGTAAAGGAAAAGAACAAGAGTTTCTACCTGATATCCCAGGACATTTTCCCAGATCTCACCCAAGACGACCAAGATAGTACCCGTATAAATCTGAAAGAGCCACAGTATTTTTGTGCATGGGGTGCTCCCTAATGCCTACATGGCTACAGTGACCAAAGACTAAGGTCCCAACACCCAAGTCCCTTTTAATACTTGGAAAAACTTGCCAAGGACATGTATAAACAATCCAAGACTGCAAAAATTACAATCAATATCTAACTCTTCAATGCCAAGAAAAAAAAACGATGGACATCCACAGGCATCAAGACCATCCAGGAAAATATGATCTCACCGAATGAACTATATAAGATATCAGTGATCAATTCAAGAGAGACAGAGATATACACAAAATATAACACAATAAATTAAGGCTTATCACAATAAAAATATCCTTCATTAAAATAAAGACAGGAAGGAAGAAAACATCACAAAACAACCAGAAAACAAATAAAAAAATGGCAGGAGTCAATTCCTATTTATCAATAATAACATTGAATGAAAATGGACCAAACTCTCCAATCAAAAGACATAAAGAGGAGAAATGGATGAAGAAAACCAAGGCCCCAAAATTATGTTGCCTACAAGAAACATATTTTGGCTATAAAGGCATACATCCACTAAAAATAGAAGGATGGAAAAAGATATTCCATGCCAATGGAACCAAAAAAAGAAAAAAAGTTGTCTATATTTATATTGGACAAAATAGATTTTAAGACAAAAACTATAAAAAGAGGCAAATGTCAGAATATAATGATAAAGGGGTCAGCTCAGCAAGAGAATATAACAATTGTAAATATACGTGCACCCAACAATGGAGCACACAGATATATAAAGCAAATATTATTAGAGCTAAAGAGAGAGCTAGACCTCAATGAAATAATAGCTGGGGATTTCAACACCACATTTCAGCATTGGAAAGATCATACAGACAGAAAATCAACAATGAAACATCGGATTGAAGGTGGACTATAGACCAAATGGACCTAATAGATGTTGCACAGAATATTTTATCCAATGACTGCAGAATTCACATTCTTCTCCTCAGCCCATGGATCATTTTGAAGGGTATGTTATGTCACAAAGCTAGCCTTAAAAATTCCAAAATTACTGAAATTATATTAAATATCTTTTCTGACTACAAGGCAGTAAAACTAGAAATCAATAACAGAGAAATTTTGGAAACTATGCAAGCACATGGAAATTAAATAATATTCTCCCAAATGACTAGTGTGTCAGTGCAAAATTTAAGAAGAAAATCTAAAAAAAAAAAACAAATGCACATGGAAACACAACATATCAAAACCTGTGGTATTCATCAAAAGCAGTACTTCGAATGTTTATAGCAAGTGCTTCAATCAAAAAAGTAGAAAAACTTCAAAAAACTACTTAATGATACATCTTAAAGAACTAGAAAAGAAAGAGCAAAGTAAACCCAAAATCAGTAAAGGAAAAGAAATAATAAAATCACAGCATAAATAAATAAAATTTAAAAGAAAAAACCCCAAAAGTTGTTTTTTTTTAAGTTAAATAAAATTGACAAATATTTAGCTTGACTACCCAAAAAAGAGAAGATCCAAATAAATAAAATCAGACACGAAAAAGAAGATATTACAACTGATACTTCAGAAATTCAAAGGATTCTTAGAAGCTGCTATGAGCAGCTACATGTCAAGTAATTGGAAAACCTTCATGGTCAAGATTTGACCATGTAGAAATAGAAAACCTGAACAAGCCAATAACAAATACTGAGATCGAAGCCCTAATAAAAATGCCTTCCAGCAAAGAAAATCCAGGAATTGATGGTTTCACTACTGAATTTTACCAAACATTTGTACAAAAAGCTAATACCAATCCAACTCAAAATATTTTGAATAGTAGTGGATGGAACACTTCCACACTCATTCTATAAGGCCAGTATTACTCTGATACCAAAGTCAGACAAAGACATATCGAAAAAAGAAAACTACAGGCCAATATTCCTGAAAAACATTTATGCAAAAATTATCAACAAATTAGTAGCAAAGTGAATTTGATAATACATTGAAACAATTATTCACCATGACCAAGTAAGATTTATCTCAGTGAAGCAAGGATGCTCCAACTTGAACAAATCAAATAATGTGATATTAACAAAATGAAGTAAAAAATCGTATGATCATTGAAATTCATGCTGAAAAAGCATTTAATAAAATTCAACATCCTCTCCTGATTAAAACTCTCAAAAAACTGGATATAGACGGAACAATCCTCAACAGAATAAAAGCCATATACAATACACCCACATTTAGTATAATACTAAATGCAGGAAAACTGAAAGCCTTTCCTCTAAGATCTGTAACAAAACAAGGATGCCCACTTCACCAGTGTTATTCAACATAGTACTGGAAGTCCTAGCTAGAGCAAGCAGACAAGATAAATAAATGAAAAGCATCCAAATTCGAGACGAAAAAGTCAAATTATCCTTGTTTGCAGAAGATATGATCTTATATTTGGAAAACCTAAAGACTCCACCAAAAAAATCATTTGAATTGATAAATTCAGTAAAGTTACAGAAAAAGAAATCAACATGCAAAAATCAGTAGCATTTCTATAAGCCAACATGAACAATCTGACAAAGAAATAAAAAAGTAATGCCGTTTACAATAGCCACAGATAAAATTAAATACCTAGAAATTAACTTAATCAAAGAAGTTAAGGGTCATTTTAATGAAAACTGTAGAAAATTCACCAAGGAAATTAAACAGGATGCAAAAAAGATGGAAAGATATTGCATGTTCTTGGATTGGAAGAATCTATATTGTTAAAAGCAATTCAATATTATTTTAAGCATCTACAGGTTGAATTCAATCCCTATCAAAATATCAATGACATTCTTCACAGAAATTGAGAAAAACAATCCTAAAATTTATATGGAACCACAAAAGACTCAGAATAGTCAAAGCTACCCTGAGCAAAAAGAACAAAACTGAAGGAATCACATTGCCTGACTTCAAATTATACTACATAGCATTAGTAACCAAAACAGCATAGCTCTGGCATAAAAGAAACAGGCACCTTGACCAACAGAATACAATATAAAATGCAGAAATAAATCCATACATCTGCAGTGAATTCATTGTTGAAAATGGTGCCAAGAACATACATGGGGAAAGGACAATCTGTGAAACACATGGTGCTGGGAAAACCGGGTATCCACATGCAAAATAAGAAAACTTAACCCTCATCTCTCACCATATGCAATAATCAAATCAAAGTGGATTAAAGACTTAAATCTAAGACCTCAAATTATGAAAATCCTATGAGAAAACACTGGGGAAACTCTCCAGGACATTGGACTGGGCAAAGATTAATCCAGTAATACCCCGCAAGCAAAAGTAACTAAAGCAAAAATAAACAAATGAGTTAAAAAGTTAAAAATCTTCTGCTCCACAAAGGAAACGATCCAAAAAGTAAAGAGACATCCCTCAAAATGGTACAAAAAATTTGCAAACTATCCATTTGACAAGATAGTAATAAGCAGAATACATAAGGAGCTCAAACAACTCTATAGGAAAAAAAGTCTGGTAATCTTATAAAAAATGGGCAAAAGATTTAAATAGACATTTTTTAAAAGAAGAAATACAAATGGCAAACAGACATGTGAAAAGATGTTCAATATCATTGACTATCAGAAAAATGCAAATACAAACTACAATGAGATATCACCTCACCCCAGTTAAAATGTCTTATATCCAAAGACAGGAAATAACAAATGCTGGTGAGGATGTGGAGAAAAGGGAACTTTTATACACTGATAGTGGGAACGTAAATTAGAACAACCACTTTGGAGAACAGTTTAGAGGCTCCTCAAAAAACTAAAAATATAATTACTATATGATTCAGCAATCACATGGCTAAGTATATACTAAAATAAAGTAAATCAGTAATCAAAGAGATAATTGTTCTTCCATGTTTATTGCTGCATTATGGCATAATAGCCAAGATTTAGAAGCAACCTAAGTGTCATCCATGGATTAATGAATAAAGAATAAATGGTACATATACACAGTGGAGTACTATTCAGTCATGAAAAAGAATTAGATTCTGTCATTTACAATAACATGGATGGAAGTAGAAGACATTAGCTTAAGTGAAATAAGCCAGACAGGGGAATACAAAATTTGTATGTTCTAACTCATCTGTGGGAGGTTAAAAAAAAAAACAGTTGAAATCATAGAGATAAAAAGTAGAATCATGTTTACCAGAGACTGGGAAAGGCAGTGGGGAGCAGACGGAATGTGCATTGTTAATGGGTACAAAAATAGAGTTAGACAGAATCAATAAGATCTAGTATTTGATAGAACAGAGTGACTACAATCAACAATCATTTGTTGTACATTTAAAAATAACAAACAGAGTATAATTGGAATATTTTAATACAAAGAAAGGATAACTGCTTGAGGTAATGGATTCACCATTTACCCTGATGTAATTATTATATATTGCATAACACCATCAAAATATTTCATGTACCCCATAAATACATACACCTATTATGTATATACAAACATTAAAAATAAAATCTATATGTTGAAAATAAGTAAGCAAACAAATAAATAATATTACAATAATTGACTGGGAATATGTGGAAAAAACACATAGAAATAATTTTATTTTAAAAAAGGTAGTAAGTGAAGAGTTTTTTTTTTTCAAAGTGTGTTAAATGCCAAAGCAAATAGTATATTTAACATTTGATTTTAAAAGATTGGGCTCTTTCTAGCAAACACTTAGTTGATAAAATATTTAATTATAAATACATTTTATATTATTTGTATTTGAATTATTGGCTACAGTAAATTAAATCCATCAAATTTAAATCCACCACTGAGTTATGATTTTCACCACTGGAATTTTAGGGCATGTAATTAAAGACAACAGTAATGAAAAATTAACTTTACCTCAAATATCCTATCATTTGAGAAAAACTTCACATGGAAATATCACAAGGATGCTCTAATCATATGGAAATACCACAAAAACACACTAATGCTAACTAGCTATAAATCTTTTATTCATTATAGTAATTCAAAATATTAACTTTTTCACTTTTCTTAGAACTGTTTACCACAAGCATACTCTTATCTGAAATGGTTAAGTGAATTATAACCCATTTTTGAATGCCTGATAAATGTTGCATTTATATGTCTGCTCACTGAATTAATAAATATCTCATTCACAACATGATACTGTACTTGGAAACATTTGGGAATATAAATTTACTATAAAAGTGAATTTTTCCAAAGATAATATGTGGATGGCAAACAAACACAGGAAAACATGTTCAACATTATTAGACATTAGGGAAATTTAAGTTAAAGCCATGATAAAATAACACTACACACATATTAAATGGCTAAACTAAATACTACTTACCAGCTCAAGTGCTGATGAGGTTGCAGAAGAATGGAAACTCATTCGTTGTTGGTGGCAATGTGAAAGATAACAGTCAAATAGCTCATAGTTTTCTTTTAATAAAGCAAAATGTACACTTACAACACAACTGAGCAATCTTACTCCTGTATATTTATCTTATTGAAATACAAAGCCTATTTTAAAGGTGTACAAACTGCATAATTCCATTCATGTAACACTCTCAAAATGGCAACATTTTGATGATGCACATCAGAGGTGTGGTTACTAGCGATGGGATTTGAGGAAGGGTGTGACCATAAAGGGAGTAGACTAAGGGAGTTTCCTTTAGATGATTAAGCTATTTTATTCCCCTTGTGCTAGTGGTCACATGACTTTATACATATGATGAAATTCCATAAAACTATACAGAAAAAAGAGGGATATAGAAGAAAGAAAGAAAAAAGGAAGGTGGGAAGGAAGGAAGGAGGGAAGGAAGGAAGGAAGGAAGGACGGGCAAGAAAAGACTGGGAAACTTGAATAATGCTTGCAGTTTAGTTAACAGTATTGTATTAATAGTAGTGCACGAACTAAATGTTAATTTCCTTGTTTTGATAATTATATTTTGATTATGTAAGATGTCATTGGGGAAATCTATGTAAAAAGAAACACAAGATCCATCAGCAATATTTAAAAGCAACTTCTATTTGAGTATAATTATTCACAAGTAACAAGTTTAATTTTTTAAAGTGTCATACATACAAAACTCAATTTATAAATGAGAATAAAAGTGATAAAATGGCAAACCTATTTTTTGTTCAGGAGTGAAGCTATCCTGTGTTTGCTAATATTCTTGTCATCTTCCTTAATTGTTCTTGCTATTTGCCATCACCACTCTAAAGGCAATCATCTCAGACAAAATTAAATTTTATAGATGGTGTAGTGTTATTGTTTTCTATCATGTGTATTATTGTTTAATTCAGTATGCAGTAAAGTTTTCTTAAATGAGATAATACACTGAACAAAATGAGCAAAGCTTAGATTTCTTTTTTATCATCGTATTCCCCTAGCAATGTCCTCAGTAAGGACACTTTGACCTCTCAGTGACTGTCATAACTCTAAACTCACGTGGTAATTTCCAATGTACCTCCCACAGAATAGAACTCCCAGTGTTTGGGAGCACACAGGGAAAAAGTTTAGAGAAGGGAAAATGGACGGAGTGGTAGATGAAGCAATGACAGAAAATAAATATCAGCTGCTGGTAAGAAGCCAAAAAGATGAGATCATATGCAAGAAAGTATTCATCAAATCTGGTTCAGCACTAAGCTAGTACTGAGAACAGAGCAGGTATGGGAGAAATTGGAAATTAGTAGATAAGGAGGGTACAGCTTCTGAAGTGTAAAAGAAGCTAATAGTAATTACAGACATCTGCCTCATTCTAGGATTTTTTTTTTTTTTTTGGTCTGAAATAAGGTTGATGGGAATAGGAACAAGGCCTTGCCATTGAGTTGAGTGTAGGTAATGTTCCCAGAGACTGAGCCATAATGCAGCTTGAGAGAATGGAAGAAATCACCGCATCCTATTGAGGTATGCATGAGGAAACATATATTATATATTCCAAACCTTCTTCTATGTAAGATGTTGGCAAGGCAGCAATTGTTCTTACCATAGGCAATGATCTCAGAAAACTTTTACCTCTGGCATGATGCCTTGAAGACAAATTAGATATTTGAAAATGATACTTTAAGTCATAGAAAGCTACTTATGAAGGACATCTAGGATTGTCTCTTGGATTTAATACCTTTTTTTCCTGATGTTTTTATCCAACGCAATACACCAGTTTAGCATGATTCGATGTTTATGGACCAGCAAACTCCATTTTTGAATAATCAGATCTCACCTCTAGGCACATTTGATAACTTTAATATAGTTAATAATTCCTTAAATTGACAGCAGTTTTGACCCTTTGCTGTTATTGAATTTCTAGTGTAAGAATCAGGCACGTGAAGGAATGTTGAAACGAGTCAAAGTTTCCTAGATAACAATCTAAAAATAGTGGGAAAGGAAGCTCTTTTTAAGATTCTTGTTTGTATCAAAACTGGTACTTTACCACATGTGGTGCCAGTAGCTGCCTGTAACTTAGATTACTTACCTAATTTTCCTCGTTATTTTCCCTGCCCCAACATTGATAATTTCAGCGAGACTCTTATTTGACCAAGGAAGAAAAGATAGCCTGGAGATGATTTCATGCTCTGTGGACTATGGGCCAGAATAATAATTGACTAAACTAGAAAAAAAAAAAAACTCTTTAGAATTAAAGGTTTTAGCTGCTTGCAGGGTGAATAGAGTTCTCTCAAAATGTAATTGAAATGTATGTTTTATCTGCCCAAACTCGAATGGACTTTTGGATTAGAAGCAAAATAAAGGATTTCAAAAATTCAACCTCCCACTACCTAAATTCAAAGTATCACTTCCATTCAAAATAGAAATTTGATGTTCTAATTTTCCTATTTATGACTGTAGCTTATTAACAGAGACTTCTGAGTAATATAAAGAGATTAATAATTTCACTTAGATAAGCAGGTTATATAAAAATTAAAACTAACTTTTTGAAATACACTTGCAGGAACTTGCCTCTTTTGACACGGTGTGAACACAACAATAAAAGCCTATAGGATCAGACATAGCAAAAGCAATGTTGCATGTGAACCAAGCAATTCATACTTACATAAATCAACCGTGCTTTAATTGCAAAGTGTAAAACATTACATCATATTTTAACTCTCTGGCTGTCCTTTACCATGGCATTTTATTTGAATATAGTATTTTGTTGAATCTATGATTCATCACTATTTTATATGCCACTAAAAAGAAAGACATTTAGATTTTTAAATCATGGCACAAACGTTTCTTTATTTTAATATTTTATATTCTGCTTTTGAAAAAAATACTGTTAGACTCTTAGGTATGAATTATAAAGTAAAAATAGACTATGTTTTACATGTCATAAAATAAAGTTTTAACTATAATTAATTGGTTATGTTATAGCTGAACTTTATTCACATTCCAAGACTAATTATTAATAATGTTTTCTTAGTCATCAATGTCCGTCTTTTCCCATAGAATGCTTTTCTTTCAAGAGAGTTTCTCATTCAGCATTTCTTAAAGATGGAAAATTGTTAGATATGTTGGAAGTTAAAATCAGGGAAGAGGAGAGAGAAAAACAATAAAAAGTTTCAATAGATGAGTAGAAAAAACTGAAGAGAAAATCTGCAATCTAGAAAATTGAGCCACAGAACCCTCCCTGAAATCAGTCCAATATTATAAATATAAAGAAAATATTTGAGAAAAGTTAGAAAAAATGGAGGATACACCTCCAAAAATCTAATTATCAATCAAACAGGCATCATGATAAGAGAAAAAAAGAAAGAGGGTGGATATAAGCAGTAACAGAACATAGCTTAATACTGAAAAAATGCCAATACATTTAGTGGCCTTTTTAATGGATTAAAAGGCCTAAGAAACACTGGGCAGAATGTCTAGCTACCTACATCACGTCACATCTTAGTAAAATTTTAGTACCAAGGTTAAAATTTAAAAAATGAAAACAATATCTATAAAAAATTAGAAATATATCAGTCATGTTTTTTTTTCTTTTTTAAAAAATGTTTTTTTATAATACTTTAAATTCTAGGGTACATGAGCAAAATGTGCATGTTTGTTACATAGGTATACGTGTGCCATGTTGGTGTGCTGCACCCATCAACTCATCATTTACATTAGGTATTTCTGCTAATGCTATCCCTTCCCCAGCCTCCCACCCCCCAATAGGCCCCAGTGTGTGATGTTCCCCTTCCTGTGTCCATGTGTTCTCATTGTTCAACTCCCACTTGTGAGTGGGAACATGCAGTGCTTGGTTTTCTGTCTTTGTGATATTTTGCTGGGAATGATGGCTTCTAGCTTCATCCATGTCCCTGCAAAGGACATGAACTCATCCTTTTTTATGGCTGTATAGTATTCCATGGTGTATATAAACCACTGCTCAATGAAATAAAAGAGGATACAGACAAATGGAAGAACATTCCATGCTCATGAATAGGAAGAATGAATGTCATGAATATGCCCATACTGCCCAAAGTAATGCTATCCCTATCAAGCTACCAATGACTTTCTTCACCGAATTGGAAAAAACCACTTTAAATTTCATATAGAACTACAAAAGAGCCCACATAGCCAAGACAATCCTAAGCAAAAATAACAAAGCTGGAAGCATCACGCTATCTGACTTCAAACTATACCACAAGTCTACAGTAACCAAAACATCATGATATTTATACCAAAACAGACATATAGACCAACGGAACAGAATAGAGGCCTCAGAAATAACACCACACATCTACAACTATCTGATCTTGGACAAACGTGACAAAAACAAGCAATGGGGAAAGGATTCCCTATTCAATAAATGGTGCTGGGAAAATTGGCTAGCCATATGTAGAAAGCTGAAACTTGATCCCTTCCTTATGCTTACACAAAAATTAACTCAAGATGGATTAAAGACTTAAATTTAAGACCTAAAACCATAAAAATCCTAGAAGAAAACCTAGGCAATACCATTCAGGACATAGGCATGGGCAAAGACTTCATGACTAAAATACCAAAAGCAATGGCAACAAAAGCCAAAATGACAAATGGGATCTAATTAAACTAAAGAGCTTCTACACAGCAAAAGAAACTATCATCGGAGTGAACAGGAAACTTACAGAATGGGAGAAAATCTTTGCAATCTATCCATCTGACAAAGGGCTAATATCCAGTCATGTTTTAAGATAGCAATGTCATTGCTGATGACAACAGTGTAATACCTAGAAAAGATTTTGGAAAATTGAGTTGACCCTGTAATTTCTTATTACATAATTCAATGAGATATAATTAAAATATTTTCAGATTTTCAGACTCACATAATTTATTAATTATCAGTATCCTCTGAAGGACTATTTGTATGTATTTCAGTGCAACAAAAATGAATTTGAGAAAAATCAGAAAGGATCATTAAAAAATGGTAAAAGGGGTTGAGGGGAAGGCAAAACTTACAATCAAGTGTAAGTAACTGCTGATAACTCTTGTTAACAGCAACACAATGGCACTTAAAACTTCCATTTCATTAATATAGTCTTATAACTTATCTTACTTTTGAGCCATCAACATGATAAAATATGATGACAGATACTCTTATTTCTTAATTGTTTCATCATAATTTAGTATTTTGTAGTGTGAACATTTAAAGCTTTGGGTTTTACATTGAGTGTTTTAGCTTGATTGCTTTCATAGGTCCTAATGTGTAGTTGTTTCTCATTATTGTTTTTTATGTATTTTGATGTCATTTTTATTTTACTTTCTACCTCAGCATTATTTAAAAGGCAAGTATGATTTCTAGTGGATTTTAACTTACTTGTCTTGTTAATAATATAATTATATTCAATCAAATAATATATTTTTATTAATAGTTGTAATGATCTCTCATCCCCTGTTGTTTTCTTTCATGAACAATCTAGACTTTACTTTTCTTCTCATTTTTGTAATAAAGAAGAATAACATTCCAATTTATTTTTAGTTTTATATTATTTATACTGTTTACCATAATTGAATTTGCCTCAGTTCTAAATTAAAACTAAATAAATAAGGTAATCCTTATTACCACTGAAGGTATCACTTAGAATCTGACTGAATTGATTTATTCTTTGAGTGGTGTTACATTTATTTCTAATCCTTTTTTAAAGAGTGGCTTAGGTATGATAAATTATCCAAATATTTGGATGTTAAACACATTTGCTGTTATTTTCATATTTATACAAATGTGTAACTTTACTTATGCTAAATTAAGTCTCATTATTCCCTCACAGCCTTCTGTAATTGATCATTTTTGGAATGAATTCTGAATCCTACATCTTTTTCACACTTGCAATTACTGAATTTTGAAAAAGAGGAAATTCATATTAGAACAAAAACAACAAATATACTATATAGAAAAGAAATATTAGAACCAAAATAAGAAATGTTATATTTCTAGTATATATTAATTGATTTTCATCTCCTGATCAACAATAACCCTTTTACCTCTGCCTGATTCAATTTTCCACTAAACCTGTCAGATACCTTTTCCATAATAAGTTATCCATTTTTCTTTTGCCTTCATCCTCTCCTTACGTACATTGTATTCAGCATTCAAATGCTCTACATTGAAAATTCACACTATCTCAAGTAACCTATTAACTCCATCTTATCCTTTTTGCATTAAAAATTCAATAGTTGGCCGGGCACGGTGGCTCACACCTGTAATCCAAGCAATGGCGTGAAACCCCGTCTCTACTAAAAGTACAAAAAATTAGCCAGCCGTGGTGGCGGGCGCCTGTAATCCCAGCTACTTTGGAGGCTGAGGCAGGAGAATTGCTTGAACCTGCCTGGGAGGCGGAGGTTGCAGTGAGCAGAGATCGCGCCACTGCACTCCAGCCTGGGCAACAGAGCAAGACTCTGTCTCAAAAAAAATAAAAAATAAAAAAATTCAATAACTCAATAGTTTCCCCTCCTTTATATCTCTCATATCTCAATTTCAGCACTCAAAATTTTAACTTCCAAAATAGCTCTTCTTAAAATTGTTGATGAATTTTCTAGTTATAAATCAAAAATAATTTTATTCATTATTTGACACCTGGAACATGTGACATTGCTTCATCTTGAAACCAAGAATCTTAAAACTAGCTCTTTTCTTTCTGTAGAAACACTACCTCTTGTTGTTGCCCATTTTTTTCCTCCTTATATTTCTCTGGGGGAACATTCATGATTTATTTTGTATTTTCCCTCAGTATAATACTATAATGGTTCAACATGTCAGTATGCATTTGTCAAAATCTATAGAATGGAGGACACTGAGTGAACCCTAGTGTTGTCTATGAACTTTGGCATATTATATTGTGTAAGTGTAGGGTTATCAATTGTAACCAATGTGCCACACTGGTGGGAGATGTTGATAATAGGGGAGGCTATGCATATATGGGGCAGGGGATATATGAAAAATCTCTGTACCTTTCTTTTTATTATGCTGTAAACCTAAAACTGCTCCTTAAAACTGTTTTTAGATATCCAACTGTGCAATTATCATTTTCTCTTTTTTTGAAATGGCATCTCGCTCTGTCATCAGGCTGGAGTGCAGTGGTGTGACCTCGGCTCACTGCCACCTCCACCTCCCAGGTTTAAGCAATTCTCCTGCCTCAGCCTCCTGAGTAGCTGGGACTGCAGGTGCGCACCACCATGCCCAGCTAATTTTTTGTATTTTTACTAGAGACAGGGTTTCACATGTTGGCCAGGATGGGCTTGATCTGTTGACATTGTGACCCGCCCACCTCAGCCCCCAAAAGTGCTGGAATTACAGGCATGAACCACCGCACCCGGCCATCAGTGTTTTAATATTTCAGAAATGTATATACTGTACGTTTTAATGTAGTTTATTTTATCTTACATTTTTATTTCACACAAGATTGAGTTGTTATATTTTATACAATTTATTTAGTCATATTTATATTTAATAATTACTTTTAAAATTTTCTCATCTATTTAACTGTAATAACAATGATTATGTTTGTTGATGGCTATTCCTATATAATCAATATATACTCATGAGGAAAAATGATTCATTATAAAATTTGTTTGAATAGTAAATTCAAGACATAATTATTATACTTTTTTCTTGCATGTTAGTTTATCTTAATGCAGTCTTTCCTATGTCTCTTCAGAAATGCAATATCAACAGCATGCTTTTAGTTATCAGGAAATGCTTTAAAACTATTTTTAAATATTCAATGTTATTGTTTTTTTAAGAAAAACATTACTACCCTATAGTTAGTGGTTCAGTCCTGATTTTAACATGGTTATTCATTTTACATGTTTTTGTTTGAAACACTTACTGTTCTTTTAATAAAGGCAAAGAAGAGTTTTCTTGATACCCACTATTAAACTTCATGTTTCCCTGTCTCTCATTGCACTGTTGCAGCCCTAACAGTTGCATGGTATGTCTGAACACTTGTATTACTCATATATTATCAGCTTAGTTTAAATGTAAATTAATTGACATTGTTTTTTTGGAATTTTTTAAATTCTGATATTTTATTTCATTTAAATTTCTAAACAGACTTCTTTAGTATAAACCCTAGAAATTCTGATGCTAACAAAAACCAAATTTTATTTTTGTTTTCTTTTATTATTGACTGATAATCAGAAATATAAGAAAGACTATAATATTCAAAAGTATACCTATATTTCCTGTTCTCTAACAAGACAATGAGCCAAAGATAATTTCCATTATATGTGCAGAACTAGATTTTGGCTCCCGTAAAATATATCATTGAAAACAATGTATGAGTACGTAGTAGATAAGTGAGAATCTTAATCACAAAAACTTCTCAAGAAACAAAAAAATAATAAAGGAAGTAAATTAAGATTTTACTTGCCAAAGGAACAAGTTTCAAAATGCAAGTTAAGGATAAAATAAACTTGAGAATAAAAAATGGAATTAATTAGAACATAAAACCTTGATTAGATTAGATACTCCATATTAATAGCTCATTCAACAAGGAATGTGAAATGTCTTAGCATTCTTAAAAAGGATAGACATGTATCATTTGGGTGACTGGGGATGTGGGTGGGAAAGAACATTCAAAATACTTTGGGTGAGATGCCTGGATGGGCTTAAGATGTGTTGCACTTAAAAAAAAAAATAATTCACATGTGAGTAGAAGACTTAAAAATAATTTCATTTATTCTGAAAGGAGGCTACAGTTAAAGGTTTGGTAAGACTTGACTGGACAAAAATTATA
Source organism: Homo sapiens (assembly GCF_000001405.40). Lineage (NCBI taxonomy): Eukaryota > Metazoa > Chordata > Mammalia > Primates > Hominidae > Homo > Homo sapiens. The sequence continues at coordinate 119,522,240 of NC_000007.14, forward strand.
AAGATAGGAGAACAGGGTTGTGTAAATAATGCTCAGCAGACAGTGAAAATTATAGGCCCTATGATGAGTAATATCATTTTTTATGCGAACAGTGTCATCTTTAAAAAAGAGAAAGGATACATTGAACAAAGAGAAAAATTTTTCCACCAGTGTTTAGTAAGCAATGGGGTGCTAGGAGTCTGGTAGAGGGAAAGCAGTTGAGAACCCTTGTCAATGATCAGATAAGTGTACAGAATTTGGGCTGTGGCCATGAACAGCAGTATGTTTCACTTCCTTAATTGCTATCTAAATATCTTCTTTCATAAAGTGTTTTTTCAAGTCTTTTAACCATTTATTCTTTGATTCATTTTTTATTATTGCATTTTTCAAATCTTTGTATATTCTCAATAAGTCTTTACTCAATTATGTGTTTTGAAAATATTTTCCTTCAGCCTGTAGCTTGCCTTTTCATTTTCATACAATATTCCTTCAAAGAACTGAAGTCTTTTATTTTGATGAAATGTGATGTATTAGTCTGTTTTCACGATGCTGATTAAGACATACCTGAGACTGGGCAATTTACAAAAGAAAGAGGTTTAGTTGGACTTACAGTTCCACATGCCTGGGAAGGCCTCGCAATCATGGTGGAAGCCAAGGAGGAGCAAGTCACGTCTTACATGGATGGCAGCAGGCGAAGAAAGAGAGTTTGTGCAAGGAAACTCCCCCTTATAAAACCATCAGATTTCGTGAGGCTTATTCACTATCAGCAGAACAGCACGGGAAAGACTGACCCCATTGATTCAATGGCCTTCCACCAGGTCCCTCCCACAACATGTGGGAATTCAAGATGAGATTTAGGTGCAAACACAGAGAAACCATATCACACAACTTATCCTTTCTTTTTTTCAGATGTGCTTTCTGAGTTGTATCTAAGAAATTTTTACCTAAGCCAAAGTCACAAAAATAAGATTTTTTTTTCTACTTTTTCTTATAAAATATTTATAGTTTTATTTTTATACTTAGGTTTATAATCAATTTTGAGCTATTTTTGAATAATGCAGGAAATTTGCCAAAGGTTTTTTTTTTTCATATGATATTAAGGTGTTCTAAAACAATTTGTTGAAAAGTCTATACTTTCTCCATTGAAATCACTTCCCAATTTTTTGTGAACCAGTTGACTATATGTATATACATATCTATATACCATGATATATGTTGCATTGATTCTTGTGCCTTTCCTTTTGTCAATATTACATTATCTTCATTAGTAGCTTATGACAAGGCTAGAAATCAGGTAATGAGACTCCTCCAAATTTATTCTATCTATTTGCATTGACAAATCTAGTTTCTCTGCCTTTTCATATAATTTTTAGAATCAGTTGGATTTGTATAAAAACAAAACAAAAAATCCTTGTGAAAGTTTTATTGAAATTGATTAAAGTTGATTAATAAATTAGGGAATAACTGATATTTTAACAATATTGAGACTTTTAGTCCATGGGATGGTGGGTCTCTCAATTTATGTATGATTTTCTTTTTGATTCTTCTCATAAGCATTTTGCATATTTTGACATATAATTCTTTGTTGTTAAATTTATGTTCAAGTATTTTATGTTTTCTATGCTATATTTTCCTATTTTTCTTTTATGTCAGCAATACCTGCAGAAGGTCTTACCCTTATCACAGCTCTAACTTAATATTTTTCTTTTTTTTTTTCTTTTTTTTTTTGAGATGGAGTCTCGCTCTTTCACCCAGGCCGGGGTGCAGTGGTGCTATCTCGGCTCACTGCAAGCTCTGCCTCCCAGGTTCATGCCATTCTCCTGCCTCAGCCTCCCAAGTAGCTGGGACTACAGGTGCCCGCCACCGCACCCGGCTAATTTTTTGTATTTTTGGTAGAGATGAGGTTTCATCATGTTAGCCAGGATGGTTTGATCTCCTGACCTCATGATCCAACCGCCTCGGCCTCCCAAAGGACTGGGATTACAGGCATAAGCCACCGCGCCCGGCCAATATTTTTCATAAATACCTATGGTATTTATTTTTTGTTGCTATTATTCTTTTATTTTTTCCATTGATTTCACTGGAGTTAGTGGAGGTCTACATGCAAGAGTCTATGAGTCTGTGGAAAATCCATTGTGTTTGCAGATTCTCCACTCTCATACTAGGATACCCTTGGAATTTAGCATTTTGATGACAATATTACCAAAATTGATGTTATCTTCATGGCACATGGTATCTCTTCATCCTGAAACCTAATTTTTAAGAGCCACTACTCAAGCCCCACCTCTGAACTGAGAAATACACATGAAGTAGGTTTAGAGATATCTAGATATCAAGATGGATAATTCAACTAGAGAGATAGATTCTGAATCTACATTTCAGCAGATAATCCAGCCCAAGAATACATATTTCTAAGCCATCAGATTATAAATAGTATTTAAAATATTGAGATTTAATATCACCAACAGTAAGTATAAATACAAATTAAGTCAAAAGGGACAGAGCAGCATGTGGAGACACACTTCATAAACTTTTGCTCCAAGAACTATTGTAAGAACATACTAGGAAAGCTGAGAGAATCCACAAACACTTTGATGGAAATGGATCACCACTGCAGGCTCCCAGCGATGCCAAAAAAGTGTGAGTCTGCTTGCTTCCTCAATGTGAGGCTCATGGTCTCAGGTAATTTATAAGCCTTGGTCACAAGCTGCCTGGAAATAGACTTGGTGCTATTGCGGGGCATGGTGGGAGTGAGGCTGGCCTTTAGGACTTCAGGCTGCATGGGAACAGGTGAGGCCTGTGACTGCCAACTTTCCCCTACTTCCCTGGTGACCTGTATGACTCAGCAGAGGCAGCCATCATTCCCCTGGGAATATAACATGATTGGACTGGGATCCACAACCCAATCCCCCACAGCAGCCACAGCAAACCCCACTGTGGAAAGGCTAAGGCTAAGGAAAGGCTAAGCTCTGCCCCCAACATGATGTCTTTCTCTACCCACCCTGGTAGCCACAGACAAAGGTCATAATCTTTTGGGAGTTCTGTGGCCCTGCCCACACCCTGAGAAACCTGAATACTTAACCAGGTGTCTCTCGGATAAGTTTGCATCCTCCCTATAGGACTGCAGCTGATGCACTCTTGAAAATGCCACCTCCTAGCTGGAGGCCAACTAACATAAAACCAGTGCACTAAACAAAAACACTAACGAGGACCCTCACAGAGTCCACTTCACTCACCTACTGCCTCCACTGGAGCAGATGCTGGTATCCACAGCTGCAAGACTTGAAGATGGATCACATCACAGGACTCTGCAGATACTCCCCAGTACCAGCCCAGAGCCCAGTAGCTCCACTGGGTGGTTAGACACAGAAAAGCACAAACAATCACTACAGTTTGGCTCTTGGAAAGTCCCTTTCCTAGGGAAAGAGGGAGAACACATCAAAGGAGCAACCTGCGGGACAAAAGAATCTGAACAGGAGGCCCTGAATCCCAAATCTTCCCTCTGACATAGTCTACCCAAATGAGAAGGAACCAGAAAAACAATTCTGGTAATATAACAAAACAAGGCTCTTTAAAACCCCCAAAATACCATATCAGCTCACCAGCAATGGATCCAAGCAAGAAGAAATCTCTGAATTGTCAGAAAAAGAATTCAGAAGGTCAAATTAAGCTAATCATGGTGGCACTAGAGAAAGGTGAAGTGCAACTTTAATAAATTAAAAACATGATACAGGATATTTTTAAAAATCAATGAAATAGAGATCACAAATAAAAAAAAATTCACAACTTCTGGAAATCAAAGACACACGTAGAGAAACACAAAATGCACTGGAAAGTCTCAACAATAGAATCAAACAAGAAAAAGAAAGATCTTCAGACCTCGAAGATGAAGACAAGGCTTTTCAATTAACCCAATCTGTCAAATACAAAGAAAAAAGAATTTTAAAAAATGAATAAAGCCTCAGAGAAATTTAAGACTACAGCAAACATTCAAACCTAACAATAATTGATGTTCCCAAAGAAGAATAGAAATCTAAGTTTGGAAAACGTATTAGAGGAGATAATTGAGGAAAACTTCCCTGGTTTTGCTAGAGACCTAGATGTCCAAATACAAAAGGCTCAAAGAACACCTGGGAAATTTATTGCAAAAAGATCTTTCCTAGGCACATAGTCATCATATTATCTAAAGTCAAGATGAAGAAAATAATGTAAAGAGCTGTGAGGCAAAAGCATCAGGTAACCTCTAAAAGGAAAACTTACCAGATTAACAGCAGATTTCTTAGCCAAAACCCTGCAAGCTAGAAGGAATTGGGATCCTATTTTTAGCCTCCTTAAACAAAACAATTATCAGCCAAGAATTTTGTATCCAGCAAAATGGAGCTTCAGAAATGAAGGAAAGATACAGTCTTTTCCAGACAAACAAATCCTGAGAGAATTTGCCACTACCAAGCCAACAACACAAGAACTGCTAAAAGGAGCTATAAATCTTGAAACAAATCCTTGAAATATACCAAAATATAACCTCCTTAAAGCATAAATCTCACAGAACCTATATAACAATAACACAATGAAAAAAAAGGTATTCAGGCAACAAATAGCATGACAAATAGAATAGTACCTCACATCTCAGTACTAACATAGAATGTAAATGCCCTAAGTGCTCGACTTAAAAGATACAGAATGGCAGAGTGGATAAGAATTCACCAACCAAATATCTGCTACCTTTAGGAGACTCACCAAACACATGAGGATGCACATAAACTAAAGATAACAGGGTGGAAAAAAATATTCAATACAAATGGACACCAAAAGCCAGCAGGAGTAGGTATTCTCATATCAGACAAAACAAATTTCAAAGCAACAGCAATTTGAAAAGACAAAGAGGGACGTTATATAATGATAAAAGCACTAGCCCAAGAGGAAACTATCACAATTCTAAATATATATTAAGAAATGAGAAAGATGACAACACACTATTAGTGGGGGACTTTACTCCACTGAGAGTACTAGATGGGTCATAAAGACAAAAAGTCAACAAAGAAACAATGAACTTAAATTACACCATAGGACAAATGAACTTAACAGATATTTACAGAACATTCTACCCAACAACTGCAGAATATACATTCTTTTCATCAGCACATGGAAGACTCTCTAAGATAAACCATATGATAGGCCACAAAACAAGTCTCAGTAACATTAAGAAAATCAAAATTATATCAAGTACTCTCTCAGACCACAGTGAAATAAAAATGAAAATCAACTCTAAAATGATCCCCCAAAACCATACAAATATATGGAAATTAAATAACCTGCTCCAGAACGATTGTTGGGTCAACAGTGAAATCAAGAAGGAAAATAAAAAATTATTGGAACTGAATAATAGTAGTGACACAATCTATGAAAACTTCTGGGATACAGCAAAAATGCTGCTAAGAGGAAAGTTTATCGCATTAAATGTCTACATCAATAAGTCTGAAAGAGCACAAATTGACAATCTAAGGTTACACCTTACAGAACCAAAGAAACAAGAACAATCCGAACCCAAATCTAGCAGATGAAAAGAAATAATGAAGGCCAGAGCAGAACTAAATGAAATTAAAACAACAATAACAACAAAAAATACAAAAGATAAATGAAACAAAACCTAGTTCTTTGAAAAGATAAATAAAATGATCAATTATAAATAAAATTGATAGACCATTAGTGAGATTAACCAAGAAGAGAGAAGATCCAAATAAACGCAAATAAAACTGTAGATATTACAACTGATACCACAGAAATACAAAAGATTATTCAAGGCTACTATGAAAACCTTTATGTGTATAAACTAGAAAACCTAGAGGAGATGGATAAATTTCTGGAAACATACAAACTTCCTAGATTAAACCAGGAAGACATAGAATCCCTGAACAGACCAATAACAAGCAGGAAGATTGAAAAGGTAATAAAAAATTGCCAACAAAAAAAGTCCAGGACCAGATGGAATGACAGCTGAATTCTCTCAGATGTTCAAAGAAGAATTGGTACCAATTCTATTGACACTATTCCACAAGATAGGGAAAGAGGGAATCCCCCCTAAACCATTCTATGAAGCCAGTATCGCCTTCATGCTAAAAACAGGGACGGACATAAGAAAAAAAGAAAACTACAGACCAATATTGCTAATGAATATAGATGCAAAAATCCTGACCAAAATACTAGCAAATCGAATCCAACAGCATATCAAAAAGATAATACACCATGATCAAGTGGGTTTCATACCAGGGATGCAGGGATAGTTTAACATATGTAAGTCAATAAATATGACACACCACATAAACATAATTAAAAGCAGAAAACACATGATCTTCTCAATAGATGCAGAAAAAACGTTTGACAAAATCCAGCATCGCTTTATTATTAAAACCCTCAGCAAAATCGGCATAGAAGGGGCATACCTTAAGGTAATAAAAGCCGTCTATGACAAACACTCAGCCAACATTATACTGATTGGGGAAAAGTTGAAAGCATTCCCCATGAGAACTGGAACAAGACAAGGACGCCTACCTTCACCACTTCTATTCAACATAGTATTGGAAGCCCTACCCAGAGCAATCAGACAAGAGAAAGAAATAAAGGCATTCAAATTGGTAAAGAGGAAGTCAAACTGTCACTATTTGCTGATGATATGATTGTATACCTAGAAAACCCTAAAAACTCATCCAAAAAGCTATTAGATCTGACAAATGAATTCAGTAACATTTCAAAATACAAAAATCAGTGTACACAAATCAGTAGCACTGCTAAGCACCAACAATGACCAAGCTTACAATCAAATCAAAAACTCAATCCATTTTACAACAGCTGCATAAAACAATCCTAAAATTAATAAGCAATAAAAAAGAGCTTACGTAGTGAAAGCAAGACAGAGCAAAAAAGAACAAATCTAGAAGCATCACATTACCCAGCTTGAAACTATACTATAAGGCCATAGTCACCAAAACAGCATGGTGCTGCTGTAAAAATAGGCACAAAGACCAATGGAACAGAATAGAAAACCCAGAAATAAAGCCAAATACTTATAGCCACTGATCTTCAACAAAGCAAACAAAAACTTAAAGTGGGGAAAGGACATTGTATTTAACAAATGGTGTTGGGATAATTGGCAAGCCACATGTAGAAGAATGAAACTAGATCCTCATCTCTCACCTTATACAAAAATCAACCCTAGATAGATCAAGAACTGAAATATAAGACCTGAAACCATAAAGATTCTAGAAGATAACATCATAAAAACCCTTCTAGACATCGGCTTAGTCAAAGACTTCATGACCAAGAACCCAAAAGCAAATGCAACAAAAACAAAGATAAATAGATGGAACTTAATTACACTAAAAAGCTTCTGCACAGCAAATGAAATAATCAGAAGAGTAATCAGACAACCCAGAGTGGGAGAAAATCTTCACAATTTATACATCTGACAAAGGATTAGTATCCAGCATCTATGAAGAACACTAACAACTCACAAGAAAAAAACAATCCCATTAAAAAGTGGGCTAAGGACATGAATAGACAATTCTCAAAAGAAGAAATACAAATGGCCAACAAGAATATGGAAAAATGCTAAATATCACTAATTATCAGAAAAATGAAAATTAAAACAGCAATGCTATACCACCTCATCCCTGCAAGAATGACCATAATCAAAAAAAATAAAAAAAATAGATGTTGGTGTGGATTATGCAGTGAAAAGGGAACACTTCTACGCTGTTGATGGGAATGCAAGCTAGAACAACCACTATGGCAAATAGTGTGAAGATTCCTTAAAGAACTAAAAGTGGACCTACCATTTGTCCAGCAATCCCACTTCTAGGTATCTATCCAGAAGAAAGTCATTATAAGAATAAGATACTTGCACACACATGTTTACAGCAGCACAATTTGCAATTGCAAGCCTAAATGCCCATGAATCAACACATGCATAAATGACTATATATATATATATATAAAATATATATTTTATAGATATATACACATAAATACACACATACCATGGAACACTTCTCAGCCATAAAAAGGAATGAAATGATGGTTTGCAGCATCCTGGATAGAACTGGAAACTATTATTCTAAGTGAAACAACTCAGGAATGAAAAACCGAACATCATATGTTCTCACTTACATGTGGGAGCTAAGCTATGAGGATGCAAAGACATAACAATGATACATTGGGCTTTGACGACTTTGTGGAAAGGGAGGGGGTAGCAAGAGATAAAAGAATACACATTGGGTACAGTGTATACTGCTCAGGTGATGGGTGCATCAAAATGTCAGAAATCATCACTAAAGATATTATTCATGTAAACAAACACCACCTGTTCCCCCAAAACCTACTGAAGTTAACAAATAAAAAAAAATAAAATTTTAAAAAGAATGGCAATCAAAAAAAGAAATTAAATCAAAAGATTGAAGCCAGGGAGTAAGTTATTAATCATATTGTGTTTTCATTGTAGATTACAAGTAGTTTTCTTCTTTTTCCCTTTAAGATTTTCTCTTTATCTTTGGCTTTTATTATTTTTACTATAATGTGTCCGTGTGTAGATCTCTTTGTATTTATCCCAACTGGAGTTTGTTGAGCTTCTTAGATGTGCAGATAATTGTTTTTCAATATATTTGGGGAAGTTTCTGCCATTCGGCCATTTTTTTTTGGATATTTTTCTATTATTTTCTTTCTCTCTTCTTCCATTACATGTATGTTGGTGCACTTAGTGATGTCCCACAATTCTTTGAATCTGTGCTTATTTTGTCATTCATTTTTCTCTCTGCTCTTCAGATTACACAACCTCTACCTATCTTCAATCTCACTGATTTTCCCTTTTGCTATTTCAAATCTACTCTTGAACCCCACTAGTAAATTTTCTGTTTCAATTATTCTATTTTTTAATTTCAGAATTTCCACGATTCTTTTTAATAATTTCAACCTCTTGACTAATTTTCTTTTTAATGAGACATTGTCATTATATTTTCCTTTACTTCTTTAAGCATATTTTATTTTGGTTCTCAAGCATAAAATATTAGAATAGTTGCTTTGAATTATCTGCCTGCAAATACAACATCTGTATTATTTTGCAAACATTTTTTATTATTCTCTTTTTTCTGTACATAGATCACTTTTCTGCTTCTTTGCATGTGTTATAAATTTCATTGAAAAATTATACATTTTAGATAATATATTTTAGCCACTCTGAATATTGACCTGTACCCACCCTCAGACTTGTTGTTATCATTGGTCTTGTGTATTGATTTACCTTAACTACTTTAGTCAATTCTGTAATCTACCTTTCTCACAGTATGAATTCTTTGATGTCATTCCCCAGAGTACAAATCCTTATGTATGCATGCAGTTATACTGGGAAGATAGTAGTTTTAGCAAGGCTCTCTTTAACTGTCCCTTTCTATTATATCTCTATTAAACTATCTGCCTCTGTTTTAATCACACTCCATTGTCAGGCTTCACTGATTGTCACTGTTTGCTTTATTGTGTTGACAATGCCCTGGGATACACATTGCTCCACAGTTTGATTTAATTAAATATGGGTTCCATGGCAGGAGTCATTTTTGAGGCCAAATTTGAGGTTTATTCTGACTCCAAAAGGATCTTTTTTAGCTATTAGTTTAATATGGTTTGGATATTTGTCTCTGCCCAGATATTATGTTGAAATGTTACTCCCAATGTTGAATGCAGGACCTGATGGGAGGTGTTTGGATTATGGGGGCAGTGGCCTCATGAATAGCTTGGGCCATCGCCTTGGTGATAAGTGGGTTCTCGTTCTGAGTTCACATAAGATCTGGTCATTTAAAAATGTGTGGCACCCCTGCCTCCTTGTTTCTGCTTTTGCCATGTGATGTAGCCTGCTCCCACTTCACTTTCTATTATGATCATAAGCCTCTTGAAGCCTCCTAAGAAGCAGATGTCACTATGCTTCCTTTACAGCCTACAGAACTGTGAGCCAATTAAATCTTTCTTCTTTATAAATTACTCAGTCTCAGTCATTTCATTATATCAATGCAGGAACAGAAAATTTATGCTGTATGTGGGGTATTGCTATAAAGATACTTGATGCTGTGAAAGAGATTTTGACATTGGGTAACAGGTTGGAAGAGTTTGCAGGGCTCTGAGGAAGGCAGAAGATGAGGGAAAATTTTGAACTTTTTAGAATCTGGTTAAATGGTTGTATCAAAATTCTGATAGTGATGTGGGCAGTGAATTCCAGGCTGCCAAGGTCTTAAAAGGAAATGAAGAACCTGTTGAGAACTAGAGCAAAGGTCATGCATATTATACCTTAGTAAATAACTTGGCTGCATTCTGTTTATGCCCTAAGAGTCTGTGGAAGTTTGAGCTTGAGAGTGATGACCTAGGGTATCTGGTGGAAGACATTTCTAAACATCAAAGTGTTCAATATGTTGAATGGCTGCTTCTAACAGCATATGCTCATACACGTGGGCAAAGAAATGATCTAAAGTTGGAACTTATATTTAAAAGGGAAGCAGACCATAAAAGTTTGGAAATTTCACACTTTGGCCATGTGGCAGAGAGACAAAAAGCTTTTTTGGGTGAGGAATTCAAGCAGGCTGTGGAGCAACCACTTGCTGGAGAGATTTGCTTAACCAAAAGAGAGCTAAGTGCTAACAGCTCAGCTAATTTGAAAATAGCCTCAAGGGCATATCAGGGACCTTTGTGGCAAACTCTCACCATAGGCCCAGAGGCATGGGAGGAAAGAATGGCTTTGTGGGCCAGGCCTCAGGGCTCCACTGCCTTGCACAGCCTCAGGACACTGCTTCCCACACCCTGCCACTCTAGCTCCAACAGGTACTCAAAGGAGCCCAGGTACAGCTAGAGCTGCCACTCTGGAGAATGGAAGCCATAATCTTCGACAACTTCCATGTAATATTGAGCTTGTGGGTACAAAGATTGCAGGAGTGAAGGAGGCTTGGCCTCTACGTAGATTTTACAGGATGTATAAGAAAGGTTGCATGCCCATGCTGAAGCTTGATGCAGGGGTGGAGTCCTCACAGAAAGCTTCTACTAGAGGAGAAATGTAGGGTTGGAGGCCCTACACCTGGGCACGCTTAGTGGGGCTGTGGAAAGGAGGCCACCATCCTCCAGACCCCAGAGTGGTAGATTTATCAGCAGTTTGCACCCTGTGTCTGGAAATGCCACAGGCATTCAACTTCGACATGTGACAGAAGCTGTGGGAGACAAAACTACAAAACCACAGGGGCAGAGCTGCCGAAGGCCTTGAAAGCCCACTCTTTTTGCACTAGTATGTCCTGAAAGCATGACATGGACACAAATGAGACTATTATGGGGCTTTAACATTTAATGACTGCCCTGCTGGGCTTTAAACTTGCATGGAGGCTGTAGCCCCTTTCTTCTGGCCAATTTGTCCTTTTTAGAACAGGAATGTTTACCCAATACCTATACCCCAATTGTATCTTGGAAGTAAATAACTTGTTTTGATTTCATAGGCTTATAGATAAAAGAAACTCACCTCCAGATGAGACTATGGACTTGGGACTTTGGAGTTAACCTGGAATGTGTTATGACTTTGGGGGACTGTTGGGAAAGTATGGTTGTATTTTGCAATGTGAGAAGTACATGAGATTTGGGAGGGGCTAAGTGTGGATTATATCATTTGGATATTTGTCTTCACCCAATTCTCATGTTGATATGTAAATCCCCAATGTTGAAAGAAAAGACTACAGGGAAGTTTTTGGATCGTAGGGGCAGATCCTTCATAAATGGCTTGGACCACCCCTTTGGTAATAAGTGAGCTGTTGCTCTGAGTTCCCACAATACTAGGTTGTTTAAAAATGTGTGACACTTCCCTTGCATCCCTGTGCTCCACTTTCACCATGTGACGTGCCTGATCTTACTTTGCCTTTGGCCATGCTTGTAAGCCTTCTGAGGTCTCCCTAGAAGTATATGATGTTATGTTTGTTGTACAGCCTGCAGAACTGTGAGCCAATTAAACCTCTTTTTTAAAACAGATTACTCAGTCTCAAGTATTTCTTTATAGCAATGTAAGATCATCATAATACACTAATCTACTGGTTTTCTCTACTAAACCAGTCAACTGATTTATTTTTCTGCTCTCATGGAGTCAACTAGTCACATTTTAATTGCTTATGATAGAAATCTTCATTGGTTTTTAGTATTGCACTGCCTCATATTTTATCCCAAATAAAGTTAGTGTCTTTGGAAAGAATGTCAGAGCTCTATGTTCTTAGGCTTGCTTTCACCTTTGGGCAAAATCTCTTAGTCACTATTCCAGAGGTGGGACATTGACCTGCTTCTTTCAGGGTGACACACTTGCTTTAGGAACATGGAGCTAGATAGGAATGGTAGCCTCTGGTATTCTCAGCTTGCCTGTCCCAGTTGGCATAAAGGCAGTCAGGACCCCATTCATATGTAGACTTTAAACAAACTATTTTTGTTGCTGTTGTTCACTCTTGAACTTGATCCCACTTGTTACCTTTGTAGCTTTATAGGTAAATCATCTCTTTTCCGAGTATTGGGTTGTAACTTCAACATACTAATTAGAGAGATGGCACATTTCTACCAATACTTCATCTTACAAATATAATTGGAAATTTTCATTTGCTATTTTTTTTTAATTTACAAATATTGTATTGGGGTCTCTGGAAGAAGAGAAGATTGCCACCATGTTTAGCTAGAAATACAGTTATGTGTGTTATTTAAAAATATGAGCTGGGAATAGTGACAAAATTGAAAAAAAAAACTTGAATCACTGTGAGTTACTAAATATACAAGGCCCTAACAATACCGAGCAATTATGATGCCTTGAAATTTTTCTTGTGTAGACAATTAAAAAATAAGTATCAGTTACAATGGGATAAACTTGTTTTTATTCACTGATATAAATATAAATTTATTACCCTCAAAGATATGGCTGAATCTACTGATTACATTCACATAAGACAAAGAGTAGATAATTAGCAAGTTTTTGTATCTGGCCATTTCTATTGTTTGGATAAAATGAGATACCAGTGAGATAATTATGGTCTAAAATTGAAAAGCAGATAATTTCAGAAATGATTCCAGTGCCATTAAAGGCTTTTATGAGCCATCAGGAATATATTTGATATAAATGTCTTGCTGTTTTCCAGTAATAAACCCACTTTCACCCATCTTTTAATATGTATATAAACATGACTGAAATCAGTCCTTATTTGCTTCCCATTTCTATTTGTTATTTAATGCTTCCTTGGAAGCAGGGAGCCTAAAGAGTTTTTCATTTTGTTTTGTCTTTTTATTGTTACACAAATTATCTTTGCATTGCCTGACCCTTCTAGAAACAAAGCATTGCCAATGTATTTCTCTTAAGGAGAAAACATCAACCTGGCAGGATCATTTTGTATGTCACAACAATTCATTACTGGCAGTGATCATAATATAGGTGGAGGCTAAGACCTTCTTAGGGTATGTGTGGGTATGTTTGTGTAATGTGATAGAGATATTGAAAAGCACTAGGTAATTTCAGTTATTTCTTTTTCTCCCTTTCTCCAACCACATAAGATTTTTAATGATGGGTATGGTTATATGTATAATCATGGAAACAAAATGAACCAAAATAAACACGTATGATAGTACATGGGTCTTCTGAATGATTTCTATCAGACTGAAGAGTGGTATATCTTGTCTCTTGTTGCATTGTACCTGTGTTTATCTTAATTATAAAAGAGATAAGAGATTCTCTCTACTCCCTCCTCCTAACCTTGTTTCTTACTGTTGTTGTTACCTCACTGGGGGCTCAAAACTGTGGAACTACGGAGAAATTAAGAGATAGGACAATTTTTATGTGAATGATTACTTTCATGCTCCCAGAACATGCAGATATTTTAAAAAGCCCCTCTGCAAGTTCTCGGCTGGTAGGACAAGTCAACCATCACGAGATGTTTCTGTGCTCTTGGAAAGTTTCTTGCTGGGTTTGTTTTTCTTCAACAATTCCTTTGACCCAGTCAGAAACATGTCTACCTTGGGGGGTCTTTTGAAGTTCTTGCCACAGCTCCAGCTCCTGGGCATTGAGAGCTCTACTTTCAGACTCTTCTGCTGAGTTTTCATTGTTTCCTTTCCTCCTGCACCATCAAGACCATAACCCTATTGAACAGAGCATGTGACGACCAACCCTACATGCATTAGTGAGGCCTTTTTTTAGAGAAATAACCTTCTCCAAATAAATTTTTTCACAAATCACTCTTCTTTCTCTTAGTCACTGATTCCTTCTTATATCTGTTTTGTTATTCTTTGGTCAATGAGGCATGAGAGAAGCTCTGGAAAACTTTGTAACTTTTCACATAGAAGGAAGATATTCACCTCACATTAACCTTGCTTTTACACCATATATACTATTGAAAATGTATTCAAAAGTGATAACAAAAATATCCCATTTTAACCATGTGTTCAATTTACAATAAGTGCCAATTATGGAATAATCATAATGCTTTGGGATAATAGAAGATCAACAATTTAATTTTCTGGAAGGTAGATCACAGGTTTTAAAAGTCTCAGGAAATTTCAAAAAATAATTTATTGTCATCTTTAAATCATATATTATTGGAGGTTAATATATTAATTAACCTAATTAATATATTAATTAATTAATTAAAGAATATTAATACTAATTAACAGAATTCTTCCCTGTTTTTGGACATTCATACCTATTGGTGCTAGTGTAACTGTGACCTAAATTAACTTTTAAGATATATCATGATTGACTAACAGTCTAGCCACATTGCCTATAACTATTCTTTAGAGTTTTTTATGTATGAAATTAATCCTAAAATAGATTAGACAAAGAGATTATGAAATCATGTATATAATAGTTTAATTTACTGTTTAAGGATGATTGATATAATAAAAAATTCACAGTCCAGGTTAATTTTTCCAGGAAGACTCCTTATAGACCGTTCTTTATAGACAGCTGCCATGAGCTCAGCTATCCTTACCTTGATCTACACTAGTGACTTTGCTATCTTTCATAAATATAATTAGCTTTTTATTGGTAAAATTAATTACTTATTAGCTAGTGTATGTTTGAAACTGGCTGTCTTAGAAAATGCTGGAAATATTAAATATGTGGTGACTGACTAAAATATCTTTCAGACACCCTCCCTTTCCCCCCAGCATTAATGGTCATTCAAATCTGATTAGACTTGCATGTGTCCAATATACTTGATTATCAGTTTCTGGGTCTTTGTTAAAGAATATAGTACAAAGGATTTTGGTTTCCAAAACTTGCCCCTAAGAATATGAATGTAACCATATTTGCCCTAAGTAATCTCTCAGCGAAAGTGTTTTGAAAACACCCAAAGCCATGACTCCCTAAGCCCTCAGAATAGGTTGTCTGAGTGTTTGATTCCTGCTTGCTAATAATTTTATGTGCAGCAGAATTAGATCAAAGAGGTCACTTATATGCTGACACTTTCAAGTTTTTAGAAACTACCTTGCTATCACCTATCTCCAGCTATTGGAGATTTACCAGAAGGGTAGTTCAAAATAGCAATGGAAGGTAAAAGATAAAGGGGCTGTGGAAAGAGTATCAGAAAAGGCTCACAAAGGAGATGGTGCCTTAACTCAGTATTGCAAAGCTAGTAAGACTTTGCCATGTTGACTAGGACTGATGAGGAACAAATTCAGCAAAGGTAATATTATGGAGACTGGCTTAGAGAATATGGTTTCTCCAGGAAACTAAACTGTGGCTGAAATTTAAGAATTTTAATATAATGGTGCAGGGAGAGGTAGGATTTTAAAGGGGCTTATGTGGTATAATTCAGTATTTTTTAAACTTTTTTGAGCACAACTCACAGAAAACACATTTTTTTATTATATGACCTGACAGAAACACAATGGAAATATGAATGTTACAAAAATATTTATAACTCGCTGATTAATATGTACTCTATTACTGTGTTTGCTACTGTTTTCTTTTATACGTTCTATTTTATTTTGTTGAAATGCTGACGTTGAACCAATGAGTTTATTTCTTGGACACCAATAGAGCAAAACACGCAGTTTGATAAACATTTTCCTAGAAAACATAACCAGCTTCATGAGTGTGCAATCACTAGAGTGAGGAGTGCTAATCCAGCAGCTGGTGGGTCGCACCCAAGTCGAGTCACGGGGGCTTCTACAGGGGTCTTCAATTGTCCTCTCTTGCCCACCAGTGCACTTGCACAACACATGCACATGTCAAAGAAAATGCTACATTAAATAGCAAATAAGAAACACCATGACAGACTGAGAGAGAGAATATGGGAGAAAAAAAAAGTTAGTACCTTTAACAGCACGTTTTCTACTTTTTGTACAAAGGTTACCATACTTTGAATTTTATTTTTGCCTCTCAAAATATGTTGCTAGTCTTATAGAAATGCACTGTCAAATTAAAATATTATGCAAGCCACATAGGCAATGTTTAATTTTCTGGTAGGAACATTTAAATAAAATAAAAAGAAACAGGCACAATTTATTTTGATAATGAAGTATTAACCGACTATATCCAATATACCATCTTTTCTGTGAGCCTTTTCTGATACTCTTCCACAGCCCCTTTATCTGCTACCTCCATTGCTATTTTGAATTACTCTTTTGGTAGATCTCCAATAGCCGGAGGTAGGTGATAGCAAGGTAGTCCCTAAAAACTTGACATGTGTCAGCGTACAAGTGTCCTCTTTGACCTAATTCTGCTGCACATAAATTTATAAACAAACAGGAACGAAATACTCAGACAACCTATTCTGTGGGCTTAGGGAGTCATGGCTTTGGGTGCTTTCAAAACACTCTTGCTGAGAGATTACTTAAGGTGAATATGGCTATGTTAATTTTGACAATAAAGTATTTAACCCAATATATCCAAAATATATACAAATCAATTAATAATAAAAATAAAAAATGGGATATTTTACTTTTTTATTCTACTAAGTCTTTCAAATGTGATGTGTATTTTATACTTACAGATCATCTTAATTTGAACTAGCCACAT
Source organism: Homo sapiens (assembly GCF_000001405.40). Classification (NCBI taxonomy): domain Eukaryota; kingdom Metazoa; phylum Chordata; class Mammalia; order Primates; family Hominidae; genus Homo; species Homo sapiens. Next base: position 119,539,263 of record NC_000007.14, read on the forward strand.
TTATAGTGCTCAATAGCCATATGTGATTTGTCATCACCATACTGGATGGCATAGTTATTAATAATAGGGAATAATGGAAGATTTTAAACTGTGTCTGTGAAGTAAATTTGACATTAGAAAGATTTCTCTCCTAGCAGGGAAGTGTTGAAGTACATTGTGAGATTGGAAACCAGGGAAAGATAATTATGGTAGTCTAGGCGGGAGACTATAGGTGCAGGAACTTGTCATTAGCTTTGTGGATTGGGGGCGAAGCAGATTTGAGAAGTAAGTGGGTGAAATTATCAGGATGTGGTCACTGATTGCATGTGATTATTTGTTGGTAATAGGGGAAGAAGAGAGAAAGGAAAGAGACTAGAATAATTGCCAGGTTTGTGGACTTGGTGATTGGGTAGACAGTGGAACCATTCATCAGGATAATGTATCCAAAATGTGAACCAGACTGTATTTTTATTTGTTTTTTAAATTACTTTTTCTGTATTATATTGTTATCAATATAATATAGAGGTGCTTTTTGATTTAGTAATGTTTGATTAGAATTTATCCTAAGACACACTGGCCTTTTAGAATTTGAAACAAACTTATATAAGTTGTTTGACCCAATGGGTTCTGCCTAGGAGAAATCTAAGGGTTAGATTCAGTGCCAGTCTTGTGACTAGAACATGAAATCACTGTTTTAGATAAGCTTCTTAATGTACATGCAAGAAAACTAAAACTTAGTGAGATTATGTGACTTTCTCAAGCCCTCTCTGTTGAGAGATATATAGATATATAGAGACATATAGATATGTTAAACCATATCTATTTTTGCGTTTTTCTTGCTTCTGTGGCTTTTCTCAAAACTTTATTATCTGCTGTTGAGCTCACCTTATACTTTTAAAGTAAAATTATTCGATAAACATTCCCTTAGTTTCACCTTAAAACCTCTCTGTACGTTTATCTTTTCAGTCTTCCTTCGATTCTCTCTGTAAGATGTGCCCTACTTGTTTTTGAACACTGGTCTCTCCCCGTTCTCTTGTTCGCACTTGTCTTTACTTCCTCCTCAATCAATGTGTTGTTCCATTTGCTTTTCAAGTTCAATATTTTGAAATACTCTACCAGCATGTGGTTTGTTAAAACTCCCTTTGGTTGTTTATATTGCTCCATAACTTTGTTTAAAGGCTACATTTCTTTATTAAGTTGATCAAGGTGGAAAAAAGAACTATCTATGGTTTTGAGTGAAATGCCTATGAACCTATTCTAAATAGTTCAGTTTTACAACTTCAAGAATGCATTTTCCCAGTGAATTTAACCATACTAAATATCCAGTATCCAATGACAACTTACAACACTGAGAAGACGTAATACTGACACATTTGTTAAAAAGTAAGTTGTGTGTCTGTATGTGTGAGTTTATGTGTATCCAAGAGTTTATGTGTATGTTTGTGCATAAGTGTATTTCTTGTGTAGTAGCTCTTAATGTATTTTTAACTGAGCAAGTTCCTGCAACATTACCTCTTTTTGTAAAGCTTCCCAGAGTTGGTTTGGCAATGCAAACCTATTTACTGAGAGGAATTGGATTCAGACATCATTTTCATTTAAGGAATTTAGTGGTCTCACTAATGACTAGTCAATTGTTGAGGTGAGTACAGATTTAAACCAAGAATGATTGCTTAGGAGAATGGCTCAATATCTATCTGGCTTACATTCTTAGTTAGAGAAAGCACAATCCATTAATTCTAAAATTCCACCAAGCAATATAGAAATGTTATATTCCTGTCTACTATTTCAGCTCTGGAGAAAAAGAATGTCCTTTAAATCCCAATATACGCATTTATTGTACTTCCTACTATTGCTTCTGCCATGTGGCTAGACTGTATTTTTCTATCATGTAAATAATCACATCTGATTAGGCATTCAAATTGTATTTTAGAAGTATTTACTCTTAAGTTGTGACACTGAATAAATTAAACCCATGAGGCCAATAAACTGCCCAGATTAATTTGTAACTTAACGTGACCAGAGATTACTTAAAATGTTAGAACCTGATTAAACCTCTTGAGACTTCAGAGTATAGTATTAATAAGTTCAAATCTCAATTTGTCATGATTTTATAACTTATCTGTTCCTTTTTTCATCAAATCACACACAGAGATAAAATAACAGTCTTAAAAACAAAATAGCACTCTCTTACTCCAATAGACATACACCTTAAACAGAAGGCATGGACAATTTTACCTTTTTATATACAGAAATAATTTTCCCTATTTCAGATAATCTCTGACAAAAATGTGAAATCCATAAATATAATGTGATGTACAGGGTGACAATGTAAGAGAGACAATTTGGGAATCTCTACCCCAAAAAGGCAAAATAACTATCCAATACATATCTGCAATATTTTTGCTCTTCCAAGCCTTTTGTGAGGTTAATTCAGAGGAGAATTTAATAAACACATACCCTGTAACTGCTAATTTATTTACTTTTTAAAATAAATACCTTTTATAATTATAATTATAAAGTAAAAAGCAAGTAACATGAATTATATCCATTAAGTAATATGCCGAACTGTAAGTTTTAAAAGTTGATGGTGAAAAAAAGGGAAGGAGAAAAGTGAGGAAGAAAGAAAGGAAGTAAGGGAGAGAGGAAGATGTATTGGCTCCGTGTACTATTGGTTTATCCATTAGTGATACATCAAAATCCATTTTGCCCCACTTTTTACCAGTAAATTGGTAAAAATAAGCTTTAAAATAATAAATCATAAAGAAGGTATGAGGGAACAGGCCTGTGGTTGGAATGCAGGCAATAATAACTTGTTTGGAGGGTGATCTGACAAATAACCAACTTTTCCAGGTTGCATTCATATTCACAGTTCCAACAATTTATCTTGCAAAAATGCATTGTAAAGATAAATTTGCACAATGCACTAAGATATATGAATATGGTTTTCATTACAGCATAATTTATAAAATGTAAAAAATAGGGAAAGAGCTTATTCATAGAGAAATAGTTATATTATTTCCATACAACAGAACACTAAATAACTATTTAAAAGTAAAGTAGATTTATATATATTAATCTGAAAGAATATGAAAGATACATGTTTAAATGGAAAAATCTTATGTGACATATAGAGAGTGATCATTCTGTATTTACTATAAAAACTAGAGTCATAGACACTGTCTATTATATACAAAGTTTGTAATGTTATACAGGAAAGATTTACTGCTATCACCTCATGTTTATAGGTATTTGAAGGGGGTGATATGAGATCAATAAGCTTTATGATTTATTTAATTAACTTTTTTAAAGTTCAGTGTCACTTTTATTATCTAAATAAACATATCTGTGACTTAGAATAGTTAGAATTAGGGGGATTACTTTCTGATTAAAATTATCTTGTTTTTATGGTGGTTCATTATTCTCTTCCACATGTTTTTGGAGATAAGGAAAAATTCCTTTGAATATGAAGTTAGTTGACATATTGTACTGTGTGGTTAAAAGAATGAAGGAGCATTTTTTTTGGAAATTAACATAGGGAATAAAAAAACAAGCGATAAAGCACTCTGTTTTTTTTAATTTATGCTATAAAATGAAACTTGTAACAAATATTCTGGGTGCTTCCTAATGAGACCAATGAAATATTGGTACAGTAGAGGTATTGTAGGGTATTAATTTATACAATGAACTGTGTTCCAAATACAACACAATTCCAAAATTTAATTTATTTCTAAATGTTGCCTGGTGAAGCTGAATTCAATAAGATTGAGTACAAATAGAATGACATTAGATGTCTGTAGAAGAAGCCCATGGATGGGGACACAAGAGCAGGGTATCACCACAGCTCCTCAAAGGACTGTAAGTATTTTCCAAACTGCTGCCAAAGATATCAGTATTTAATGTTTTAAAAATAAATAAAAATTGTTGATTTGCAACATGGCTGTAATCTGGCACACGGTGATGATGAAATAATATAAAAAATATGCCCAGTAGGCTAGGTGTCATGGCTCATGCCTGTAATCTTAGCACTTTGGGAGGCCAAGGCAGACAGAGCCTTTGAGCCCAGGAGTTTGAAAGCAATCCAGAACACATGGAAAAACCCATCTCTACTAAACATACAAAAATTAGCTAGGCATGGCAGCACACACCCATAGTCCCAACAACTCGAGGAGCTGAGGTAGGAAGATCACTGGAGCCTGGGGATATCAAGGCTGCAGTGAGCCATGATCCCACCACTGCACTCCAGCCTGGGCAACAGAATAAGACCCTGTAACAAAAAATTGTAATAACCATCTCTCTCATTTTTTGTAAAAGAAATATGCCTGTAGGTCTTGCAATTTAGATTTATTCATAAACCAATCTACTTAGAAAAATCAGAAATAACATTTATTTTTCTGTATACATATAAATTATAAACTAATACACTGATTTTCTAATTTATAAATTAGTTAATTTAAGCATTAGCTAATGTCTTTGAATAAATGGATAAAGTTGTTATTCTGAATTTTACAAAGCTGAAGACCAGTACAGAGCTTAGACTGCTTTAATAAGATTTAAAAACCATATGAGGCCTAGTCTGTGCAGCTGGTTAAATAGCTTCTTTATTACTATCAACTTATTAACAGAAAAATCCCAGGCATGGTCCCACTTGAATCCTATTTAAGAGCTATTGAAACTGTATTGAGTTTTCTCAAGAAAAAAAAAAGTTTCTCTTTACAGTGCTTCATCAGTAGATAAAATGAAATAGTTTTGTAATAAAAAAAAACCTAAGACTAGCTTTTTCTGCTCATAGCTTGATAAAAACAGTTGTGAACAGAAGAATAAAACAAAATATGAACTACAATAAATTATTCTCCATCTTGGTGAGGTAACATGTCCTAAAGAATTTTTAGAAACTTTGTTAGGTTAAGTTTAAATTCTACTTTAATCATTTTATCCCCTCCAAAATGTAAATGAAAATCAATCATCATGGCCCAAACTCATTTCAGATAACATATCTGGGAACAAGGGAGAATTCTGAATTGTGATATGGGTCTAATAACACTGTAGAATCCCAGATCACAGTTAATATCTGCAGCTTCTACCTTTCTTATATTTTTTACCATGAGAACAACTACCCTAAAATTTAGTTTCCAGACACTCTTCTGATTGGATGTTTGAAGTCATTTTTCATATGTAATTCTTCAAAATGACCAATTAAGGATTTTCTAGAACCAAAATACTTTAATATTCACCTTACATTATAATCTATAAATCGATTGCCTGGATGAATAACTCTTTATAATCCCAGATTTTTAAAAGGCAGTCAATAAAATTATAAACCTACCATTCTCTCTTCCATCATATTCTACCATTACAAATTATAACTACATGTTTCTCAGATAAATATTCATCGTGAAACTCAGGTGGGTTTCAGCTCTGGCTATTCCACAACTAATCATTATTATTCTCTCAGCCTGGTAGAGGCATCATTTAGGAATGGCATTAAACTTTACTTTGTGAATCAGAAGTGGTTATGAATTATATGAATATTCAGTGTTGTATTACATAAATTCATTGCTGATGTCCAGATAGAAATATTAATAAAAGCTGTTTTTTTTTACTACATTGTTGGTCAGTGTTGGTTTGAACTGAATATAGAAAATGTAATACACTGAATAACATATAACATAAATGTGCTTTTATCCTTAATCTTATAGATTGTTTTTAATCATGCTATTTGAACCAAATCATTAGATAATTTGATATGAGACAAACTAAATGCATGTATCAAAGCTATTGAGACTAGAAATGTAAGCAATTTGTTCTCACTGCTGATGCAATAGTTTTATACTTAAATACCAGAGATAGCCAAACCAAATAACCAACACTACAATTACTTGTTGCCAGAAAGATTGACAATATAAATTCCACTGAAACCAAAACCATTAACTTCTGGTATGTCTTGAAAAACCAATGGACTCAACTCCAGATATTCTATATAGCATGCCAAAGAATTCAGCTGCTTACAATCACAACCATAACTAGTGTATATCTGAGGCCTTATCAGGAAGATGTATTGTTTAAAATGTGATGATTCACTGGTGTCAATAACACTTTTGTTTAAATGACTGCAATGAGTAATTGGTAATGTTTGCTTTGAAACCATTGAGCTTACAACTCATATCTCTTGTAATGAATACTGTGGGTGTACTTCCTAGACAACCTTCTACAGGGCCAAGTCATTCATTTCCTTAGCTGGTATAAATGTTTTCACTGAAGCCCAAAGCTGAGTTACCTGCAAGAACTGTACTGCCTTGACCTTGGTGAAAGGAAATTTTCTCACTCATTGTTTTGCCTCCTTTCTGGTTGCAGCACTTATACAATGCCTGGTTGATGCTACATGAAAGTATGAAGGCCCTCCCACATTTCCTCCATTTGGGACGACTCTGAAGGGCCATCCCAACTCCATCGCTCTCCAGGAGATAAGCTGAGGCTTCTATTGTGAAAGTAGCACAATTCAATGTCTCCTTCTAGCCAGTTCTGTTTCACTTACTTCCACATAGGTAATGTCACTGAGAATACACTTACATAAACATAATGCCTGACAATCTCTGTCTCAGTCTATTTCCCATGGAACCCAATGGGAAACTTCTGTACAAATCTGTCATAAAATAGAAAAACACTGGTCACTTATATTGTCTCTGCATTATAAAAATTTTAAATTAATTTCTGGTGAAGGCTTCAGCTTGTTCTATCTAAAATCTTTGGACTCAGTTCTTCATGGGATGGGGCACTATCTTGCCCTTTTCTTATTAAGTTATAACTATTCCAAATATTTTCTGCAATTGCATTGGACCTAGCAGTTATGTTTGCAGAATATAAAATGATAGTTTATTTACTTATCACTCATGAGGAAGTTGATTAGGAATATCACTATTATTATATCAGGTATAATAATATATGTTAAGCTACAGTCAGAAGATTCCTGATCTATTTCTTGGCCTCCCTAGACACGGCTGGCATTGCTTGGTCACCCTTATTTCATGGGCTTTTTCTTAGAATACACTAAATAAGATAATTAGATATTGCATGTTTGTTTTAGAAAGTAAGCACACCTCAGTTATCTCAACAAGGTCAATCTAGTTTGCTTCTGACTTCTTAATTTCTGCTGCAGCATGTTCCTACATTTTAGGATAGCAGCTAAACCTCAGTATCTGAATGGTGATAGCATGGGATAAAATTGCTTTTCAATATTAGCACTTGAGGAGAAAGTGACAATGAAGGAGGATAGACTTTAGAAGTGAATCCAGATAAGAGACACCAAAATATTTATTGGAACATATGAGTGACTCACATAATAGAAAATATGAGTTACCGGGTTCTTGGGTTTTATGCTCTAGAATTTTAGTCAATGTGACTTAGGTTCCTTTTTCTGGGAAATAGCCTTTGACAGAGGTAAACACTGTGTCGTTAGCTTTTGTTGCAATTTCACAAGGAGGCACAGAAATGTCTCAATGATCAGAGAGCTTCTGAAAAATTGCAAATTATTGTCAGCCATAAAATAAAAAGGGAGTCATATCATATCTAATAAGAAATTCCAATTATTTACCTTTGTATAACTCAACCCAAATTGAAAATAGTACCATTTCACTAAGGCCTCAGGCATGGGAAGAACATTTAAACTCTATTTGTTTTTTTATTAAAAACAGCTTCGTAAAGGTAAAATGATGTATAAATTGATATATAAAGAATTTTACATATTTAAAATATACAATTTGATGATTTTGAATATATGCAAATACCAATGACACTATCATCACAATCAAGATAAACATATCCAGTGCGGCTGGGCGCAGTGGCTCATGCCTGTAATCTCAGCACTTTGGGTGGGTGAGGCAGGCAGATCATTTGACATCAGGAGTTCAAGACCAGCCTGGCCAACATGGTGAAACCCCGTCTCTATTAAAAATACAGAAATTAGTCGGGCATAGTGGTACACACCTGTAATCCCAGCTACTCAGGCAGCTGAGGCAGGAGAATTGCTTGAATCCAGGAGGCAGAGGTTGCAGTGAGCTGAGATCGAGCCACTGCACTCCAGCCTGGGCGACAGAGAGAGACTCTGTCTCAAAACAACAACAAACAAACAAACAACCATATCCAATGCTCCTCAAAGTATTTTTGTGCCCTTTTCCTTTTGTGTATGTGTATGTTGTATTGTGTATGTATGTGTTAAAAACACAAGATATCTACTCTGTTAATAAATTGTGAAGTGCACAATACTGTATTGTTAACCATAACCACTATGCTGTATAGCAGTTCATAACAGTGGCAACCACTATGATGTTCTGTGCTTCTATGAGCTAGACAATTATGGATACTTTTTAGAAGTGGGATAATACAGTATTTGTCTTTCTGTGAGAAACTGTACTTTGAAGGGAAGGTGTCTATTTTGTTTGCATGAGGTGAACAAGTAACACAGATTCAGACTGTATGGGTTTGAATCCTGACAGGATGATATTTTTCATTATTTAATCTTTACACAACATATTTCTCACTTGTAAATTATAGACAGTAATAGTAATTACCTCGTAGGTTCTCATGAAGGTTAAAAGTGATAAGTATGGACTATTTAGTATAGTGCCTGGCATTCAGTAAATACATAATAAGTATAAACTCATTCATAGTTCTAAAACAGGCCTCAAATCATGATTAGTGGCCATTCTTCCAGGCATACATATCTTTTTGTTTTCTTTCTTTTTCCCTTCAAATTAAAATAAAACTGCCATGTATTTTTTTAAAAGTGGGAAAAAAGTGAAAACATTTGAAACATGTACTATATAGAAATGAATTATATTAGAATATACAGATTGCTCTGATATACCAAGACAAGAAATACTATGGACTTGTTAGGAAAACTGGTAAAAGAAAATAGTCAAAGAGCCAGGAACATGAGTTAAGTTACACTTTTTCATGATTAATCAAGGAAAGAAAGACAGATAAGTGCTGCCAATAATGTGGAGCAAAGGGGAATGTGCTGTATGTCAATGTTAATGTAACAAAGGTGCATGTGAACCAGCAATTCTACCTCTGAGTATATTCTTAACAAAGATGTATGCTTGTGGGCAATTTTTAAATGTACAAAAATATTCATAGCACCATTGTGTGTAATAGTCTATAACTGGAATTAGTACCACTAATTGGCAATAGGTGCACTATCCACAATCCTGTTGACTCCTATTAACTCTTAGTACCAAGAACATACAAACAGCTATGCAAATAACCACCCAAGCTTCAGTGGCTTATCATAATAAAAGTGTTACTTACATAGTCACCGTCTAATGTGAGACAGTGATGATGAGGGGCTATTTCTCCACTCAGTCATTCAGATAACCAGGCTGCCTGCTTCCATCTAGTGGGTCCATTCCCTTCTAGGATCCCTACTGTTCCAGTGAATAGTTTTCCTTCTGAAGGGAGGCCAGGAAAGGGAGCTAGCAAAGGCACCAGAGGTTTCAGGGCAGAAAGTTTGATGGCCTGCCTCCTGTCACAGGCTCCACTAATGGCACGGGAACCTAAAAAATGCCGTTTAACTGAGTGCCCAGGAGAAAGTCAATGTGGTCTGATGAGTCCCCACTAACTGTCTGTCACAATACTGAAGGGGAATACGATACATATCTTCTCAAGTTCTGGAACATAGGGAGGTCAGGAAAGACATCCTAAGACCCACATCCCATGCACTGTCCAAGTGGCCCAGATATTAATTCCTGGTGGCTCTTTTCTAGTTTTCTGGAATGTTCAGATGACCATATTCCTTGTTCCTCACTGACTGACATCCTGGAGAGCAGACTACACAGCTTCAGAGTAGTTCTCTGTTCTGCCTGGTTGCTCCAAATTCTATTTAAAATGCTCTTCCAATGGTACCTTAGTCATTCTCTCTTTCAAATTTCCCCAGGAGCCCCTTCTCTCTGGCATATTTCCAGGAGGTGGGCCTTGGTTCAGTGACAGAACTCAGCACTATGTCTCTGCTTCTCCTAGAAAAGCTGAAACACCGTCTTGGCTGACATTTCTGCCCAAATCTTCTCTGAAGCAGGTCCCTTGGTAGGGGCTATCACATCTCATAGGCACAGTCACCAGATTAGTGTGTGTGGAGGGAGAGGAAGGCAGTGCAGGTAGAACGGATCCCTGAAAACACTGATTCAATAGTTCCTGGGGAAGAGGAGTAGGACTAGTGATCTATACTACTGTTCAAAGATGTCAAATCAACTTTTAGCTCCAAAATGGTTGTTGACATCCCAGAAGCTCAATATGCTGGTAGGTGGCATTCAGGGAGCAGATAGATGCAAGGAGCAGTGCAGTTCTAAGTCACAAGGTGGTTCCTAGGTTATGGTTGTCCACAAGAAACAGGATTTAGCTTCTTTTGAGAACTAGTCAGGATGGAGGAAATGAGAAGTAGGTCCGGAGTTTAAAAACTAGCAGTTATGTAGGATAGATAAGTCTAAAGATGTAATGTATAGCATGAGGTAGAAGTTGAATTTGGAGAATTAGTAGAGTTATCCAGATTAACAAAAGAGTCATGAATATTGTGTTTCAGGTTTGGAAAACAGCATGGATAAATAACCAGATATATAGGGTTATTCATAGCTCTATATATGGTGCTCAGATATATAGTGAGTTCAGTATTGAGAAAAGATTATGGATAGGTGGACAAAGGCCAAATCCTTAAATAATTTGTAATCCATGTCGTCCTTATCCTGTTTAGGTCAAATATAAGCTTCTGTGTGGTTTAAAACAAACATCACATGAGAGCATTTTAAACAATCATTATGTGATTCATTTACTCTCTTGGATAGCAAGTGTATGTAGTATAATAAGTAAAAACCAAAAATGGAGAGACCAGCTAGGAAGCTGGTATACACAAAAGGTGATAGAAAGCTAAATTAAGGAATTAGACATGGGAAGGGGAAAGAAGGGAGCAATTTAGGGGATGGACAGAAAGCATAATTGTTAGGACTCAGTGATTAATAGAAATTTGAAATGAGAATAAGGGAGCAGCTAAGAATCATTGGTTTAAAAATAAGGTTGTTTTATCCATTAGGATAAAGACCACAGTTTGGAAGTGATGACCAGCAGATGGGTTTGGTTATGATAAAATTGTTGATAAGAGTTTCTAAAGACAGGTCGGCTAGGAGACATGCAAAATTATGACCTATCTCTAATAACTATTTAACATGTCTTGGGAATGCATTTTTATGACAAATTTAAGATTATTAATTCAATCTTCAACCCATTTCCCTATTTTCATAACTATATGCAGTTTATGTTGTACCAATATGACTCATGATAAATAAGAATCCAATATTAAAATAAAGCCTCTAAAGGCTTTTTAAAAATAGTTTCATTGAAGCTAATCTTCCTTATCCCTGGATGAAATTGCCTTTTGTTTCTCTGCTGATTCTCAGATATTAAAACAGTACTACCAGTCTCTAAGTTGCTGACACACGGAAGTGTCTAGTCTTATGCATTAATCAAAATTTAGAACTTGACTTTGGATTAAATCTTTTCTTCCTCTTCCAGCTTGGGTCACCTACTGGATGCAAGATTTAAGTAAAAACGAATGGTTGATTGTTCTGCTTTCTACTCTCTTATGGCACAACCCTAACTTATTCACTAGCTGTAGTTCTATTTTCCTACAGGACCTAAGGCAAAGGTTGGCAGAAAAGTAGGGAGAGGTAGAGCAATTCTTACTCGACTGATGGCACTACAATTGTTTCCTTCAAGGTTCCTCATTATGCTACTTTCTTTCCAGTTCCAGTGACCTTGGTGAGGCCTTGTATGACACACCTCTCAATATCTGAAAGATCCTCTTCTTTCTCTTGGGGGTCCAGTCCCTTCCAAGAAAAATTAGGCAGGACAAAAGATGACCAAACTCAGTATCTCCCTCTCTGCCTTATCTTATTCATGGTTATTTTACCCCATGTTAAAAATCTCCATGATATCAGGGTAATATCGAAACAACATGACTTTTGAACTCCCCTGCCTTCAAGCAGCTACTCAGTTCAGCCCTTCTTTAAACTTCTAGGTTTCCATAAGTTTCAGACCCCAAAGGTGCACTTTAGCTTTCTTAGAGACGCTAAGTCAGACACAAATATGTTTTCTCTTCAGTGGAGGTAAGAGATATCATAACTGCCCAAGTGATTACCTTGAAACATCTCTCAGGAGTTGGATGTTAGCTTATTTCATTTTACATAATGTCCTCCAGTTCCATTCATGTTGCTGCAAATTATGGAATTTTATTCTTTTTATGGCTGAATAATATTCTTTTGTGTGTACATATCATGTTGTCTTTATCCATTTATCTATTGATGGACACTAAAATTGATTCCATTTCTTGGTTATTGGTAATAGTGCTGCAATAAACAAATATTTCATGTTCTCACTCATATGTGGGACCTAAAAAAATTGATCTCATGGAAGTAGTGAGTAAAATGATAGTTACCAGGGGATGGAAATTGTAGGGGGTTTAGTGGCTACAAAATACAGTTAGATGGAAAGAATAAGTTGTCATATTCTATAGAACAGTAGGGCAACTATAGTTAACAATAATTTATTATACGTCTCAAAATAGTGAAAAGAGAAGATTTGAAATGTTCCTAACAAAGAAATAGCAAATGTTTGAGATGATGGCCATCCCAATTACCCTGATTTAATCATTACATAAAATATATATGTATACACACATATATATGTATGTATATGTATATATATACACACACATTCGCACTCATGCTATTCTACTACATATATGTATAGCAAATATATACATATGCATACATGTGCTACTTTGCTATGTATAAATAGGTACAATTTTTATGTATTTATAAAAGCATTTAATAAAAGAAAGTTGGACGTTAGAAGGTATCACTGCCTCACCATCTTCCTTCTACTGTGGGCATGTGATGCAGGACAAAAATATTCCAAAGAGATCTCTAGAACAGTGTTCTCTCTTTTCTCTAATTTCTCTACAAGAGATTCAAAAGGTAAAAAAAAATTTCCCTACTATTCCTTTGTGAATGTTTGTATGTAGGAGCTGTGCTTTTCACACAGTCACTTTGGTGTGTTATATTTAAGATAGGAATTGTCCCATTCTAACATTATTTTATACTGCTATGTTTTATATTCACAAATTATTTATAGAAAAAGTAGAAAAGCATTCATACTACATGACTGGATTAGAAACTGTAGCTACCAAGCCCATTAAAACAGTATTAAGTTTTGTCTCTGAGGTTTGGAAGATAGCTATAAGGAAAAGACCTACACACACTATAAAAGATGTTTCTATACTATTATTGAAGTAGAGAAGAAATAATAAATTCTTAAATGAAAGAGTTATAGAAAATTTCATAACCTAGAACTACCAAAACCATTAAGAAGCTGGAGCAACAAAACCTGTTAAAACATGATTAATTTTCTGTCCTTGAGGTCAAGAAAATAGGTATATGAAAAAGAGCTATACCTGATATAAAAAAGGTCAGGTACTATGTGTTACGGAAGTAGAGTTGAAAAAATAGCAAACTTTTAAAAGAAGGTAGTTAGAGAAAATTCCAGGGTACAAATATTAAATAATACTTGAATTGAATGTTAAAGAATATATAGCATTTCATTGATGCTTTTCATCCCCTCAGTTTTTGAAAATATACTCCCTTCCTGCTGATCCAAATCATCCATTTCCACTAGGAGCATACTTAAATGATTCTAGGTAAGTCAGTGGAAGAATATAGTTACAATTTAATTTTAAAATAAAACAACCATTGTGACTACTCATCTTCAACTATTCTTTTTAGAATGCTTTATTATGTAAAGCATTTTTGGTAGACGAAGAATAAAGATACCCTCATTTTCAGTCACTTAAAGTGAAATGCATCAAAACTTCATAATATTTTCCCAATAATGTCACCCTAAATATATTTAATTGACCATTTATCATTTCATAAAAACATATCTGGCACTGCCATAAAGGTTGTCATATTTCCTGATCTTTGAAAATGCTGATATTGAATATCTGTGTCCTAAGTAACAGCCCAACTAAAAATTGTTTTGAAGATGCTAAACCAATGATTTTTTTATTATTATTATAATTACAGATATGTGTTTATATATATGTATAATATATATGAGAGAGACAGAGCACTAACATATACTATATACTGTGGATTTATTATAGGTCAAGGGATTTACATACATGATCTCATTCAATCTTCACATAATCCTTTGGAGCTGGTTATTATTATCATTCCCATTATACAGATTAACAGATGAATGACCAGAAGCATTAACTCATTTCCCAAGGTCACATCAAAGATGTAAATACTCAGGTTCCAGCTCAGCCAGGCTAAATACAATGTCATTTGTCTATCACTACAAGTTACAATTTCTCCAAGTTTTTAACTCCGGCATAGGTATCCCCACTCCAATATACAGAAGAGTCTACAATTTTTATGTAATTTTTATCCTATATACTCAACTCCGTCCTATTGTTACTTAATATGGATTTACACTGGAGAAAATGTATGGCCTTTTAGCAGAAAAAAAATATATATATATATGCCTTTATAAAAATCCTCACAGACTCCTTTGAAGAAAAGGTAAATTTTACCTATGCATAGTGAAACTAGATAACTTCTTATCTATTATATTTAGTCCATAATGGTTCTTCTTGTGAACCTCCTGTTAAGAAAATATAATTTCATTTATAAAAAGAGCAACTGTTCAATATTAGTTAAAAAACACTGATTTCACCATCAGGCACTTAGCACAAGTGCAAAATGGATGCGGAATGAATGAGTGGATGGATTAATAAATAAATGAATGAATAAATACTTTATTCAGCTAATATGTGTCTGATTTTCAGTTATATTTTATGCAACCATATACACATACACACACCCTCCATACCTACATACATGTGTGACTGGCTATATAGCTGCTGTTTCTTTTCTTCTATCTTATTTGTTATACATTTAATTCTTCATGAGTATGCTTATTTTGCCAAGATAGGTGCTTTTCTGTATTTTTATAGCTTGTTCCCATATATCTCTGTGGTTAAGGAAAGATGATGATAACTAATAGGTAACATAGATAACTAATCTCTCTCTCTTTTTCTTCTCATATATGTAACACTGCTCATAACCTCAGTCTTTTCCTAATTTTTATCTCCTTGAAGTAAGTAGTAAGTATAAAAATTATCAATTTGAAAGCCAGCAAAATGTCAGCCTGCCCAAGTCAGCTTTCAGTTTAGATTCGGCCATTTGGAGATAGACAGTGTGTAGCTATGTTGCACACCCTCATCAAAAACAGATTATGTAAACAATCAGTAGCACATACCTATGTCACGAATTTGTGAATTACTACCAGGAATGAGGAAGAAGTCATGACCCTTTAATTACTGCAGGAAACAAAAAAAATAGAAGATTCACAAACTTGTTACCCACCAGAATAGATGATTTATAAAATAATAGTTTGTTGAGTGCTTCAGAAGCAATTGTGTGTGTATGTGTGTGCACATGTGTGTGTCTACAAACGTGTACACATTTGTTCTGTTATTCCAGTCATTACAGGTAAGCTTCATTTTGCTGTTAATCACTTTTACAATAGGTAGCTGGCATACCTATTACTTCAGTAATATTTCTTCTTACATCAATACTCAGAGAATAGCTTTACCCACAGAGTAGACTGCAAACTGTAACAGAAGAGGAGCAGACCCTATCAAAATAAAATAGAAATGGTGTGTACTCACATAATCATTGGTAATAAAATCAATAGACAAAGGAAAGCAAGAAATGCAGATGTCAGCTACTACCTCTCAGTGTAGTGATAAAAGATCGTCCAGCTTATATGAAATCTATGATTAACTCTCATTTACTTGAAATAATTTTATCATACCCAAAGGGACAGTTAAAGGAATACTGCTCTTATCACGATCAAAACACCAGAAATGAAAATCCCACTGGGGAAACAAATATTTTAATAATCAGTTCTATATCCACAGCAGT
This sequence comes from Homo sapiens, assembly GCF_000001405.40. Taxonomy (NCBI): domain Eukaryota; kingdom Metazoa; phylum Chordata; class Mammalia; order Primates; family Hominidae; genus Homo; species Homo sapiens. Next base: position 119,555,267 of record NC_000007.14, read on the forward strand.
AACACAGTAGTAAAACGTCATGGATAACCAAGCTATTTCAACCTTTAATTTTCAACCTGCTTTAGGCTAGCATTCTAAATCAGAAACCAAAGGATCTCTAGAGTCCTGTGCTATTAAAACCAAATTCATTTACAGAAAGTGTATTGCTATAATTTTACCATTTACAAAACACTTTAGACAGTGTTACAGTATTGACATGAGTTTTATGGTTTCATCTCTTTACTACATACTCTGTGAGAAGAACTGATAGTAAACGTTGAGTACACAGACAGATTTTGGAATAAATTTGTAAATTTCTAACAAAGTCCCTATGTAAATTAGTAGCATGAATGCAGGCAGATTTATATGTCCACACTAATTTTAAAAAACAAATGGATTCGTTTGTTTTCCTATGAGTAACAAAACAAATAACTATATAAATCAGATGCAGGATGCCAACATATGTGTCTACTGGAAGATTTAGAAAGCCTGAAATAAAACAATGAAAGTAAACATTTATCAATAATTCCTTGAAGGCCACATTCAATGCTTGTTAACAGATTGATACTGTTATAGGAATGGGGTCGGAATCCAGACCCCAACAGTGAGTTCTTGGATCTCCCACAAGAAAGAATTCAGGGCGGGTCCATGGAGTAAAGTGAAAGCAAATTTGTAAGAAAGTAAAAGAACAAAAAAAATGGCTACTCCATAGACACAGCAGCCCTGAGGGCTCCTGGCTGCCCATTTGTATTTATTCCTTGATAATATGCTAAACAAGGGGTGGATTATTCATTCATGCCTCCTTTTTTAGACCATATAGGGTAACTGCCTCACATTGCCATGGCATTTGAAAATTCTCATGATGCTAAAGGGAGTGTAGCAGTGAGGACAACCAGAGGTCACTCTTATCGTCATCTTGGTTTTGGTGGGTTTTAGCCAGCTTCTTTACTGCAACCTGTTTTATCAGCAAGGTCTTTATGACCTGTATCTTGTGCGAACCTCCCATCTCATCCTGTGACTTAGAATGCCTTAACCATCTGGGAATGCAGCCCAGGAGTTCTCAGCCTAATTTTACTCAGCTCCTATTCAAAATGGAGGTGCTCTGGTTCACATCCCTCTGACAATAGCTTTCAAGAAATCTGCTCTGGAGGATCAAGAGTTTAAGAAATAAAGTTAATATTGTCCTAAATAATGCCTTTTACTGTCTTCAGCAAAATATCTAATAACGCTATTTGAACAGGGCGTATCAAAGTCCAATCCCTTTTGATGATTGCAGAACAGAACAAAGAAATTCTATGTTTTGCATGGAAAAAAAAGAAAGACCAACAGAACAAAAACAAGGGATCTTGGGATCTTGGCCAAGCAATTAGATTAGACTGACAATAGGCCAGCAGCTGACAACAATATTTTGGAAATGGTTTTCTAGTTACTAAAACTGTACAAAAGTGAGCCAGAGTGTAAAAATGTGCAACCTTCAGCCAGGTCATTTCAAGAGCAAAAATACTAAAATTTAAGAGCCAAAATACATATCCTTCTGCTGATGTTAATATTGTTGAGCATTCTCTACATTTGAATGTAACAGCACTATAGCTGGTCATCTAAACAGATATTGGCTCCTTAGCCAGCAAGTAGACACTTATTTGAAGCTGAAATAAATAATTGATTACAAATTCAAATGTCCTTCTTTACTTTACAAAGACAACTTTACAAAGGCAACCACAGAGATTGAGTTGCAAATATTGCCAATTTTTTTTTTTTTTTTTTTGAGACGGAGTTTTGCTCTGTCGCCCAGGCTGGAGTGCAGTGGTGCGATCTCGACTCACTGCAAGCTCCGCCTCCCGGGTTCACGCCATTCTCCTGCCTCAGCCTCCCGTGTAGCTGGGACTGCAGGCGCGCGCCACCATGCCTGGCTAATTTTTGTATTTTTAGTAGAGACGAGGTTTCACCGTGTTAGCCAGGATGGTCTCGATCTCCTGACCTCGTGATCCGCCCGTCTCGGCCTCCCATTGCCCAATTTTGTAATAGAACTAGGGACAGTTATTCCACCCACATCTCTCTTCAAGTAAATAAAACAAACCGTTCAAGAAGACAGGAAATCAAATAACAGGCTTTAGCTGGGTACCACCAAGAAATTTATATCCATGGTCAAGAGCACACAACAGTTATATGACAGAAGCTGGAAAATGACATTTCAAGGTACATCAGCTAAAATGTCATAAACATTTCAAATTATCAATAGCAGAAAAAAATTTAATGTAGAAATATAAACTTTCCACTAAAGAGAGGCACTTTTCAAATGATGCCTTAGAATTCTCTTCTTGGACAGATCTCTTTTCAACTTCAATAAGGAAATGGGTATATGGTAGTATGTTTTGTGGTAGAATGAGCAATGACACATACAAATTCAACCAAATCCATTCTGTCAGGTCAGCAGATAGTCTGATATGTATAGGCATCAGGCATCACCTAAAAATACTAACATCTATACACACAATACTAGGATATATTCACTGGTAATAGAACTGAAGTAAAAATTCATTATGCTGACTTTTCAACCTAACTCATTTACAAGAATCTCTATTCCTGGCTATGTCTGGACTCTATTTGATGGAAAGTACAGAAGTAATTAATTTATCTCTATTAAGAAGATAAAACATCCTTATCAATTCACAGAGTCATATAGAAAAAGGAGAAGCCAGCAGATCAGTGTGGTTACCATCAACTATCAACAATAATATTTAGCCTCTTTAATAACACAAATTTCCCTGAATGAAGCATATATGAAATCCTTAACTCCAAATTCTATTGTTAAAATTGAATCTTGCTAGCAAGGCCAACGTTTATTTGTCAGTCTCAAGTAAGCGGACTGCACTTGAGATAATCGAGAAAAACAACCCAAATGATCTGTAAACAGCTGAATTGATATCATTGTATTTGTTTATTTTAGACCATTTTAATTCCTTCCACAAATGATCAACCTCTTGGTTTCCAAATGTGCCATAAATCAGGGAGGGAGAAACTTGCATTTAAAACAATTTTCTGTGAGAGTAGTTAAAAGGAAAGATGACTACTCTAACATCTAGGGGGGGAAATAAAAATCTAGTAACAAATCATAGTCATTTGTATTACTATTATGTGCTAGCATACACCTGCATGAGCTCTACTACCTCAGTAGATTGTATGGATATTGCTATTAAAGAAGAGTATATGAGATGTATATATATAAAATGTTAAATCATTGCTTCATTTATTTGTATTTCTAACAAATTTCTTATTGACAATCTGTGTAGAAAAAGCAAGAAAAATACAACTAAGTAAGAACAAATGTAATACAGACCCTTGAAGAACTACTGTTGAGAAACTAAATAAAGTATAATTTATTACCAGTTTTCTAAGAAATAAAATTCACATTCTCCATGGAACAAAATAGAAACTAAGTGTAGGAAGGGCTACTGTAGCAGTGAGCTCAATTCAGCCTCCTTAAACTTCATTTCACGTTTGAGAGATTCTGGGTTACAGCTCTTGCTCCAGTATGGGCAAAAGACCCTCCCCCTTTGGTTCCTCTTATTTTAGCTGAGAAAGCCTAAAAATTTTTTAAAACTTTCTCTAAATACAAAGAAGATCTACTGGAAAATAAACATTATAAATGAGACAAATACAGTTACAGCTTAAAAAAGCACATTTCTGTATTTCTCATACTTAACATATCCTCAGAGTTTGAGAATCCTTTGCCAACCCAATTACTATGTGTGTAGGTTCAACTCTGTTCCTAAAGAGTTTCCACAACCTTTCAGGAGCTTGGACACTTTACTTGCAAGCTATTCTTCATTTTCATATTCGAAATTACCATTTTACAAGTTCCTAAGCAAAAGTTATCTGCTAGACCTCTTTACTCTCTAAAGTCATTACCGAGAGATAATGAAGAATGAGTCTCCTTCTTCAGTTAACTTATGAGTCCCTTTCTTCATTTGGTTTCCATGAACATTCTTCTTACATACATGTTTTTCAAGTGATGGACACCATTAATGGTTTCACTTCCTGCTGGGACCTAGAATCCAACAAATCTTAAAAATCATAATCGGCTTTGCCCTCAGTACACGACCATCAGTAAAACTAGAACAGAAGTTAAAACTGACATCCTCACATTAAGATAGATGTGTAAATAATATATCATAATGTAAAGTGCTAGAAACATAATTAGTGATTAATAGTCTAATATATGTTTTCCTTTATTTTCTTTCATTAGTTCCGATTCAGATCATAATAGTCTGGAGTACAGTTATTGCCCCTCAATTATCCAATATACCATAGACATTTTCTCATGCTAATACATTTTAGCTCCTAAATGAGTTTTCTATAACATGAAATAGAATACAGTCTCACAAGATCTGATGGTTTCAAAAAGGGGAGTTTGCCTGCACAATTTCTCTTCTCTTGTCTGCCACCATAAGAGACATAAGAGACATGCCTTTCACCTTCTGCCATGATTGTGAGGCTCCCTAAGCCAAGTAGAACTGTGAGTCCATTAAACCTCCTTCGTTTGTAAATTTTCCAGTATCAGATATGTCTTTATCAGCAGCGTGAAAATGGACTAATACAGTAGACAATGCAACTAAGTCATAAAAACAAGTAGGAGAGGTCAGTGACTGGCAAATCAATGACCAGCAGTGAAGGGCATTCCAAAGAGAGGAAATGTCATATAAAATAATTGAAATAATCCTTTTTTAAAAAAATAGAGATGTTCAATAATCATTTTTATATCAGTTTTCCACAGGGTTAAATTAACTGTTGCTTTCCGAAAATGGATTCATTTTAATATAGCTGGAACATGGGCACAATTGAGAAACTAATAGATAATAATTGGGTTGGTTGTTGGATTGAAAAGGCTTTTGTATGTTTTACTAAGAAATGTGGACTTTATTCTTTACATAGTATGTAAAATATAGGAGTGTTTTAAGTTTCGGTTATGTGTGTGTGTGGCTTTTGGATATTGTTTGTTATTTGTTTTTTCTGTGTTTGTAGCAGGTGTTTTTTTTTTATTATTTATTTTCTTTTTGAGATGAGGTAATGCTCCACTACCCAAGTTGGAATGGAGTGACACAATCTTGGCTCACTGCAGCCTCAAGCTCCTGGGCTCAAAGGATCTTCCTGTCTCAGCCTCCCAAATAGCTGGGACTACAGGAATGCAACATCATACTCGGCTAATTTTTGTATTTTTTTTCGTAGAGACAGGGTCTCTGTGTGTTGCCCAGGCTGGTCTTGAATTCCTGGCCTCAACCAGTCCTCTTGTGTTGGCCTCCAAAATTGCTAGGATTACAGGCATGAGACACTGCACCAGCATGTATTATTTTGTATTACTGTATTCTATTTCATGTTACAGAAAACTCATTTTCGGAGCTAAAATGTATTAGCATGAGAAAATGCTTATGGTGTATTGGATAATTAAGGGGCAATAACCGTAATCCAGACCATTATGATCTGAATCAGAACTAAGAAAAGAAAATAAAGGAAGACATATATTAGTCTATTAGTGACTAAACACACACACAAACTCTACTCAGAATGTATTATTTAAGCAAAAAAGAATGTATCTGAAAGTTTTAAAAGATGTCTATAAAATTCAGATAATATTTTACAATGAAGGGGTGTTTTTGTTACATAATAATTTAATGCTCATTTTTGAAACATAATGAGAGGTAAAAAATATTACATTTTAAAGAATTTTCTGAGACCCCATTACATTTCCTGGGTATTCAACATATAGAATTATACATGAATTCTGATATACAACCACATTTCCATAAACACACCTAAAAGGTGCAAATCTAGGGAGCGATAGAAATAAACAAAACCTAGGAAGTTAAGTACAAGTATAGAATCACCCTTACATGGGTTATCTTTGCAAGATATAAAATTTACATATGTAGAATATGATTATAATTAGAATTTAGTAATTATATTAAGACATGATATGGACTTCTACATATCAAAATCTACTACTGATGAAATAGCTTGCCTTAGAATTCCTGTACAGAAAAGAGATACAGATGCGATTTATTTAATCTAATGTGAGAAGATGTCTAACAACATACTCCGCCTCAAGCATCTTATAGTCTATCCTCAGACTAGATTTCATCATGATGTGCCACCCTTCCAATTCAGATACTGTCTTCAATACTTTGAATACTGAATTAATAAATACGACATAGAGTCTGCTCTTTAGGATCTTACCAAATAGTGCACAGAGCCTGAGACAGAAAGGAGGGCTGGTGATAAGTTATAGAGACAACCTTACTTTCCAACTCAGACTCTTGCAAGTAATTTTAACATTCAATAGATTTCCACGGTGGTCAAAGATTGTGGTATGAATCAGAATTTTTAATGATTGACATTGCTCTAACTTGATTAATGGCAGCAAGCACATTTGTATGGATTGTACTTTTGTTGTTTACACACACAGCCAATTTTGGCCTTTTGTGTGTTACAGAACTCTGCTGCTGTGGCTCTGTCTAGAATATGTCATAAAGTTAATTAAGTCAAAGTAGATTGTAGAGATATCTTGCATATCTAAAAATAGTTCTGTCTAATAATAATACACTATCTATCTTCCCTGGCTGTATCCTTATTTTGGTGAGTGTGATAGGTATGGTAGCCAGTGGCTTGGCAAAGCTACAGCACTGGTCATGATGACAAGCATCCAGAGAAGATAGATGATTTAGTGCATCCATCTAGTTCACATTGCTGGAAAATATTTAGACTACGTGATTCCTAAGTTGTGTGTTCCTTGAGTCAAGAGTCTTATCTTTTTAATCTTTGCATGACTTAGCACATGTAATATATAGAAGACACTTCTTAAAAGGAAACAACGGAGGAACAGTAATATCATCTACAAATATGAGCATGACATTTATTTTAAACAACATAGCTAGTTTCAGTGTATTAATGTAATATTATCATCATAAATAATAAATGCAGCTTTGTAGTGCAATTTAGGCTTACAAAATACTAGTTAGATACTAAAGGTGATTTTTCTTTATTACTGGTAATTACTAGCTCTGGGCAAAATTTGATAAGTATGGTGATTCTTTTATTTAGTTAAATTTAATTTTGACTAATTTCTTGAGATCTGAAATATATTTATGTAACAAAGTGAAATATGCAAAATATTAGGTATTACTTCTCAAAGTAAGATTTCTGAGTTCATGTACAAAATGTGTACTTACAGTTTTTTATAAGTCCTCTGAGGGATCTGGACTAGGAATGTAGAAGTCATAAGTAAGTATTTAAGTGACAATTAGCATTCAATATAATTCTCATGCTTCCAAGAGTCTCACTACACACTTGTGCTATTTGTCATCCCCTGTTGATTTACTTTGTCTCCTTTCTATCTTTGCCATTATTAATTTCATGGTTCACACATAGAATTTGTTAGATATTATTATTTGAGAAGGTTCAGGGAAATGCTGCCTTTGTTCATGAAATAGAAACAATTTTTTCCCTTTAGCTTCCTGAAAAGAAGTCATGTAACAGAACAAGTCATGCACAGAACAAAAATTCAGTGGCGTGATTTTTTTGTTTACTTGATATTTTATTATATATGATAACTTTGTTAACAAGTCTTTTTTTTTGTTCGTTTGTTTGTCTTGCTGAATTTCACATTCTTAAAATGTCTTAGGAATTGGAAACAACTGAACACTCCGTTGAGATTTGTGACTGTCATCCTTCTGGTTATAATTACTCATAGATCTTGCAAAAGTAGCAGAGATGCATCTATTATAACCATCAGTCAGGATGGTCATTAAGCACTTTCTGCAGTCAAGATTGCTGTGCCAGATGGTACTTGAGGAACAATAGACAATGCACTCCAAACTGCCGAGCATTTGTTCTGTGCAATTTTAACTTAGGGCTTGTATAAGAATAAAATAAAGCAAAGGTACCTATGAGAGTAAAATGTCTAGTGGTGGATTTCTATTCTTAGACTCTTTTATTTACATATAAGGACAAATTAGTTACTATATTGGGAATGTATATTGTCTAATAACACACATAGTTCTATAAAGACCAATAGTTAGATTACTAAAATGTACTTTTCTTTATACTACTATGTTCCAAGTTTTTTCTTGGGGTGATCTTTCATAGTTTAAAAAGGAGCTTCTTTTGGAGCAAGATGAGCTTGACTTGTATTGTAATAACAAAGTACCTACGATAGCTCTTCCCATAGTAAAGAATACTTAATGATACATAATTGTAGATAAGTGTTATTTTCCCTTTAAAACATTAATTGTCTTATAACTATCTATCTATATTCCCAGAATATGCAGAATCTATGAATGTGTTCAAAATAGTGAAATGGATATGATTGGGTCAAGCTCTGATTTTTCACCTGGCCATGCAGCCTTCAGTCCTATCACTCTTAATTCAAAGAAATTGTTAATTTTCCACATTGTCTTGTTTATTTTATCTGCTCATTTGTGTCGTCCAATCAGTATTTTCACTTTGAGATAAGTAGCCCCCACAAGGCTTAGTCACATTTCATCTTCTCCAGTTTGGTCTACTTAAAGTCTCCAAGTTATATTTTGCTTTTCAAATATCCTACACATTGATTAAATCCCACATAAAGCTTCATTTTTTCACTGACAGCTTCTGAATCCCCAGTTCAACTGAATTTTTGTTCAAATGTATTTATTTCTTCCATAACATTTTTGAGGCAACATGCATTAAAAACACAGTGAAATGAAAATAATTGAAAAATTTTACCTACAAAAATATGAGCATGAAGAGAAGGAAAGTATATTCTAGTGAATTCAGTGGCTATATGCTGGCATGACATCTTCCAGTGGGCTTTCTGAATTGCACCTGCACCCTTCTTTCAGAAACTTCCTTCTCTAATCCAAGCTCTGACCATATGCAGAGAAGTACCATTCTCTTTCATGGTGCATCCATTCTGGCCTCAGATGTTGGTGTGAAAGGAAGAATGCCATAAAACATCAGCAAAAGCTTTCCCCAGAATTTTTTCTCCCTCTCTCTCTTAGACTTGAGTCTACCCTTCTCTTCTCTTATGAATTAAGGAATATGAGAGCCCAGAACAAACAAAGGCCCCTTTTTTCACCTCATAAAAAAGGCAATCTGAAGGAGAGTCTGAGGAAGATGATGAGTAGCAGGCAGGGCTAATGTGCAGCTCCCACTTGGATGGGAAGAACAGTGTGTGGAGATTCACATCATGAACTTTTGCTAAAAGAGCCAAGACAGGAACATACCAGGAAAACTGAAAGAATTCACAGATCCTTTGAAAGAAGTAGCACACCACTGCAAATTCTGTGAGACAAGTGAAAAACTGAGTTTCCCAAGTGTGAGGTAGGGAATCCTGCCTCTGAACACATATCCTTACTGGGGAATCTGAAAATCCAGGTCACAAGAGAAATATTTAACCTAGAGCTGAAGGAGATTTAGGAAGCTGGGCAAAATAAAAAAAAAAGTAGAAGCAGCAGTGGGAAGAGCCTTGTAGGCACTCTCAGTCTCCAGCTTGAACCCAGGGAAGCCATCCCTGACTACATCTCACAGGGGATCTCTTGGAAGGCAGCCAGTGGAATTAGGAAGAAGTTATAGGATGAAAGAAGCTTCAAACTGAGATTTGTAACACAAATTTTATTGAGCAGAATTTGTGGGATGAACGGAAACTGCTGCAGTTAAGAGCACAGGAATTGCCACTGACAGTATGGGCAGACAGGGAGGGAAGAGGGAGGCCTGAAACCTGTGCTTGCTTTCTCAGGAGGGAAGCTGATAGCCTGGGGCAAAGTCTGAGTGGGGCACTGCAGGAGTGACACCAGCCTTGCCAACTGCACGGGAGCTGAGTGAGGCCTTCCACTACTGGCTATTCCCCACTAACCTGGAGAACTATATAACATAGCAGAGGCAGCCACAATCCCCCCATAGAGTTAATATTTTGGAATGAGAAGACAGGACATACGCACAAAATACTACATGATAATTGTTATTAAGAAAAATAAAGTAATGGAGTGGAATAAAAATGTTGGGAATTTAAACGGAGATGAGGTCAGGGAGGTAACAGGATGCAAGATCATATAGCTAACAGCAATGGCTTATTCTGAGGCAAATAGTAACTGACTTCTTTGAAGGTTTTAAGAAAAGTGATGTAATCTGAATTTAACTTCAAAATAATTACTATGTTGTGATTAAAATAGAATAAAGGGAGTAGGGGTGAACTCAGATAACTGGTTAAGAGTCAACTGTAGTAACCCATGTAGGAAATAAGGAAAAGTCAGACCTGTGTAGGTGTCATGGAGCTGATGAGAGGTGACTAGAATCTAGATGTTTTGAAATACAGCTGATAAGATTTACTGATATATCAAATATTAGACATGAGAAGAAAAGAGTCATCATACAGGATTGCAAGATTTTGAACTAGGGCAATGGAATTGGAGCTAACTGAGATAAAGATACAAAGAAACAAGGTTAAGGGAAGAGAATGGAAATCCAGAGTTTGATTTAGACAAGTTAGCATTGAGATGCTCATTATCACCTAAGTCTAGATTTCAATTAGGCAATTGCATATCTGAGTTAGAAGTTCAAATAGAGGTACTAGATAGAGTCATACATTTGGGGATTATTATATAGGTGGCATTTCATGCCATAAAAAAAGACACAATAAAATTTCATAGGAGTTTCTGTAAATAGTGACAAGAGCCAAAGGCTGAGCCCCAAATACTGCAATATGATGGAGATCAAAAGAAGCTGAGAAAGAGCAGCAGTGAAATATGAAAGAAAAACTGGGAGAGCAAGATGTCCTGGAAATTGAGCGAGGTGGTAAAGAAAGGTATCACATCTGCATCAGGTACTGCTGTTAGAACAAGAAGGTACAGCAACTGCATCAGGTGCTTCTGATAGAAAAGAAGGATGAAAGTGGTCCAATATTACTCACCACTTATTCTGTCTTATCCTTCCTTAGAACTGGAGGAAAATACCGGGCACCTGTCGGCCAGTTAAAAACGATTAGCATGGCCACCGGACTTAAGACTCATGTGTGAAGCTATCTGGGGAAGGACTTTCTAACAACCTGGGTTGGGGACATTGGTCTGCCTGGAGCCAGCTTCCACTTTCAATTTTCTTGGGGAAGCCAAGGGCCGACTAGAGGCAGAAAGCTGTTGTCCCAAATTCCCGGCATTAGCTGGTTGAGATCATGGCGCAGCCAGAAGTCTCTACTCAACAGTCGCCCATGCCTGCGCCCCTACCTTTCCTTCTGACCCATACCTCCTGGGTCCCGACCACAACTTTCTTGAAAGTGTAGCCCCAAAATTCTCCTTACCTCTGAATCTACTACTGATCCCTGCCTCCTGGGTACTAATGGTTCAGACTTTCATTTCCTCTAGCAAGTTGTATTTCCAAAGGGATCCAAGGAAGCTCTATGCTGTGTCCTTAGGCACCTAGGCTATAACCCAGGTGGGACCCATTCCCCACCACCCTTGCCAGGGCCCCAAGTTTGTAATAACTAAGAGAGAGAGATGGAGAGAGAGAGAGAGAGAGGGAGGAGAGAGAGAGAAAGACGGAGGGGAGAGAGAGAGATGGAGGGGAGAGAGAGAGAGACAGAGGGGAGAGAGAGAGAGAGAGACAGAGGGGAGAGAGAGAGAGAGAGAGAGATGGGGGAGAGAGAGAGAGAGAAATGGAGGAGAGAGACAGAGACAAAGAAGGAGTCAAATAGGAAAAGAAAGAGAAAGATAAAAATAGTAAGAAAAAAAAAAGAAAAAAACCAGTGTGCCCTATTCCTTTAAAAGCCAGGGTAAATTTAAAACTATAATTGATAATTGAAGGTCTTCTCCATGACCCTATAATACTTCAATATTACCTTGTTGTCAGTGTAAACAAGGGCGTAGCCTGAAAACACTGAGACCACTGCTAATCTCAAAGGATAAGTTTATCACTCAGTCAGCTGCAGACATTAGGAAAAAACTTCAAAAGTCTGCCTTAGACACGAAGCAAAACTTAGAAACCCTATTGAACTTGGCAATCTCGGTTATTTATAATAGAGATCAGGAGGAGCAGGTGGAACGGGACAAATGAGATTAAAAGAAAGGCCACTGCTTTAGTCATGGCCCTCAGGCAAGCAGACTTTGGAGGTTCTGGAAAAGGGAAAAGCTGGGCAAATTGAATGCCTAATAGGGGTTGCTTCCAGTGTGTTCTACAAGGACACTTTAAAAAAGACTGTCCAAGTAGAAATAAGCCGCCGCCTTGTCCATGCCTCTTATGTCAAGGGAATCACTGGAAGGCCCATTGCCCCAGGGGACGAAGGTCCTCTGAGTCAGAAGACACTAACCAGATGATCCAGCAGCAGGACTGAGGGTGCCCAGGGCAAGCGCCAGCCCATGCCATCACCCTCACAGAGCCCCGGGTATGCTTGACCATTGAGGGTCAGGGGGTTAACTGTCTCCTGGACACTGGCACAGCCTTCTCAGTCTTACTCTCCTGTCCTGGACAACTGTCTTCCAAATCTGTCACTATCTGAGGGGTCCTAGGACAGCCAGTCACTAGATACTTCTCCCAGCCACTAAGTTATGACTGGGGAACTTTACTCTTTTCACATGCTTTTCTAATTATGCCTGAAAGCCCCACTCTCTTGTTAGGGAGAGACATTCTAGCAAAAGCAGGGGCCATTATACACCTGAACATAGGAGGAGGAACACCCATTTGTTGTCCCCTGCTTGAGGAAGGAATTAATCCTGAAGTCTGGGCAACAGAAGGACAATATGGATGAGCAAAGAATGCCTGTCCTGTTCAAGTTAAACTAAAGGATTCCGCCTCCTTTCCCTACAAAAGGCAAGTACCCCCTTAGACCTGAGGCCCAACAAGGACTCCAAAAGATTGTTAAGGACCTAAAAGCCCAAGGCCTAGTAAAACCATGCAATAGCCCTTGCAAGACTCCAATTTTAGGAGTACAGAAACCCAGCGGACAGTGGAGGTTAGTGTAAAATCTCAGGATTATCAATGAGGCTGTTGTTCCTCTATACCCAGCTATAGCTAATTCTTATACTCTGCTTTCCCAAATACCAGAGGAAGCAGAGTGGTTTACAGTCCTGGACCTTAAGGATGCCTTTGTCTGCATCCCTGTACATCCTGACTCTCAATTCTTGTTTGCCTTTGAAGATTCTTCGAACCCAGTGTCTCAACTCACCTGGACGGTTTTACCCCACGGGTTCAGGGATAGCCCCATCTATTTGGCCAGGCATTAGCCCAAGAATTGAGCCAATTCTCATACCTCCACACTCTTGTCCTTCGGGATGTGGATGATTTACTTTTAGCCACCCGTTCAGAAATCTTGTGCCATCAAGCCACCCAAGTGCTCTTTAATTTCCTCATCACCTGTGGCTACAGGTTTCCAAACCAAAGGCTCAGGTCTGCTCACAGCCGTTTAAATACTTAGAGCTAAAATTATCCAAAGGCACCAGGGCCCTCAGTGAGGAACGTATCCAGCCTATACTGGCTTATCCTCATTCCCAAACCCTACAGCAACCAACAGTGTTCCTTGGCATAACAGGTTTCTGTCGAATATGGATTCCCAGGTATGGCGAAATAGCCAGACCATTATATACACTAATTAAGGAAACTCAGAAAGCCAATACCCATTTAGTAAGATGGACATCTGAAGCAGAAGCGGCTTTCCAGGCCCTAAAGAAGGCCCTAACCCAAGCCCCAGTGTTAAGCTTGCCAACGGGGCAAGACTTTTCTTTATATGTCACAAAAAAACAGGAATAGCTCTAGGAGTCCTTACACAGGTCCAAGGGATGAGCTTGCGACCCGTGGCATACCTGAGTAAGAAAATTGATGTAGTGGCAAAGGGTTGGCCCCATTGTTTACAGGTAGTGGCAGCAGTAGCAGTCTTAGTATCTGAAACAGTTAAAATAATACAGGGAAGAGATCTTACTGTGTGGACATCTCATGATGTGAATGGCATACTCACTGCTAAAGGAGACTTGTGGCTGTCAGACAACCATTTACTTAAATATCAGGCTCTATTACTTGAAGGGCCAGTGCTGCAACTGCGCACTTGTGCAACTCTTAACCCAGCCACATTTCTTCCAGGCAATGAAGGAAAAAAAGAACATAACTGTCAACAAGTAATTGCTCAAACCTACCCCACTGAAGGGGACCTTTTAGAGGTTCCCTTGACTGATCCTGACCTCAACCTGTATACTGATGAAAGTTCCTTTGTAGAAAATGGACTTTGAAAAGTGGGCTATGCTGTGGTCAGTGATAATGGAATACTTGAAAGTAATCCCCTCACTCCAGGAACTAGTGCTCAGCTGGCAGAACTAATAGCCCTCACTCAGGCACTAAAATTAGGAGAAGGAAAAAGGGTAAATATATATGCAGACTCTAAGTATGCTTACCTAGTCCTTCATGCCCACGCAGCAATATGGAGAGAAAGGGAATTCCTAACTTCCGAGGGAACACCTATCAAACATCAGGAAGCCATTAAGAAATTATTATTGGCTGTACAGAAACCTAAAGAGGTGGCAGTCTTAGACTGCCAGCGTCATCAGAAAGGAAAGGAAAGGGAAATAGAAGGTAACTGCCAAGTGGATATTGAAGTCAAAAGAGCCGCAAGGCAGGACCCTCCATTAGAAATGCTTATAGAAGGACCCCTACTATGGGGTAATTCCCTCCGGGAAACCAAGCCCCAGTACTCAGAAGAAGAAATAGAATGGCGAACCTCACAAGGACATAGTTTCCTCCCATCAGGATGGCTAGCCGCTGACAAAGGAAGAATACTTTTGCTTGCAGCTAACCAATGGAAATTACTTAAAACCCTTCACCAAACCTTCCACTTAGGCATTGATAGCACCCATCAGATGGCCAAATTATTATTTACTGGACCAGGCCTTTTCAAAACTATCAAACAAATAGTCAGGGCCTGTGAAGTGTGACAAAGAAATAATCCCCTGCACTGCAGGCCACACATTTCAATCCCTGTGTTTAACCTCCTTGTTAAGTTTGTCTCTTCCAGAATAAAAGCTGTAAAACTACAAATAGTTCTTCAAATGGAGCCCCAGATGCAGTCCATGACTAAGATCTACCGCGGACCCCTGGACCAGCCTGCTAGCCCGTGCTCTGATGTTAATGACATTGAAGGCACCCCTCCCAAGGAAATCTCAACTGCACAACCCCTACTACGCCCCAATTCAGCAGGAAGCAGTAAGAGTGGTTGTCAGCCAACCTCCCCAACAGCACTTGGGTTTTCCTATTGAGAGGGGGGACTGAAAGACAGTACTAGCTGGATTTCCTAGGCCAACTAAAAATCCCTAAGCCTAGCTGGGAAGGTGACCACATCCACCTTTAAACACGGGGCTTGCAACTTAGCTCACACCTGACCAATCAGAGAGCTCACTAAAATGCTAATTAGGCAAAAACAGGAGGTAAAGAAATAGCCAGTCATCTGTTGTGTGAGAGCACAGCGGTAGGGACAATGATTGGGATATAAACCCAGGCATTCGAGCCGGCAATGGCAACCCCCTTTGGGTCCCCTTCTTTTGTATGGGAGCTCTGTTTTCACTCTATTAAGACATGCAACTGCAAAAAAAAAAAAAAAGAAAGAAAAAGAAAGGTAAGATGAAGACTGATAATTTACTATTTATTATAGAAACATGGGAGGCATTGATGTCCTGCTAAGATTGTTGTCAGTAGAATAGTGAGTTCCAGAAAGAATGAGCTATAGCCAATTATTTTGAGGTATTTTGCTATAAAGAATACCAAATGGAGAAGCATGCAGAGGAAAATGTGTGTGTGTGTGTGTGTGTGTGTGTGTGTGTATGTGTGCATATATATATAACATCTCTCTCTCCCTCTCTCTATAGTTATATTTATAATTATATGTATATAAATACATATATATAACCCTCTCTACATACAAAGTTATATATATATAGAGAGAGATAGTTTTATGTAGGGTTACATATAGAGATATATCTCTATATATTTAGTTATATATATAAATATATTTTCTCTATATATATATAAAGAAAAAAGTTTGTATATTTGTATTTGTCTGTTTTGAGATAAGAGAAATATGACTATTTGAGGGATGGGAATAATTATCATATAAATAGACAATAGTTAAGGATGAAGAAGATCATTGCTTGTGCAAATGTCCTTTCACAGCCAAAACAAGATAGTATGTATTGCCAAATTGAGTGCAATTTAATGAGTAATAGAAACTGTAAATACATACATCTGAGCCACTATTTGACCAGAAAAATGGGAGAAAAAAATACATATCTGAAATTCATCTATACGTTATTTGAAAGAGTTCCATTTATAACCATTAGAGATATTTCACAGCTGTTTGTTTCCTTGTATTATTTTTGTCAAATTTGATGTTGGTGTTATGCTCAATTCATAACATCAATTAGAAACCTCAAACTTTGTTTTTAATTTTGAGTACATATTTTCATATTTTGATATTTATGCAGAATTTTTGCCCCTGAATTTCAACCTCAGCGTCACTCCCATGGTTACATTTGGCAAAAGAAACATTGAATACACAACTAAAGTTACTAATTAGCTGACCTTAAAATAGAAGATTATCCTGGATTATGAAGTAGATGCCAATGTAATTACTCAAGCCCTGAAAGGAAGACATCAGTCAGATGTGGCAGAAAAGGAAATAAGAGATATTTTAAGTATCAAAATGACATGGAGTGACCATGTGGAAAACTTGCAAAGGGAATAAATTTGACTAATAACTAGTGACTGCAGAAAAGGAACCCAAAGCACAAATAAGAGTCTAGTCCTAGCTGACATCTTGATTGCAGTATTTATTTTTATTTCCAAATTTTATTTTAGTTTCAGGGATAGGTGTGCAGGTTTGTTACATAGGTAAATTGTGTGCCAAAGGGGTTTGGTGTACAGATTATTTCATCACCCCGATAATAATAACATAGTACTCAGTAGGTAGCTTTCTGATTTTCACCCTCCTCCTGATGGCAGCAGTGGGCCATCTGGAGTGGCCACTGTCATCATGCCAGCAGCAGCAGGGAGGCCTGGCTGGGGCTGCACCCTCAGTGGTACTGACAGCAGCCAGGGATAAGTTGGAGCCTCGCCCTGTCTGAGCTAGGGTGGGAGCTCTCCATGTGCCACCGCAGCTGCCCAAAACGTGGCTGCTGACCTGGGCCTCCCACTCCACAGAGCAGGCAGGAGCTCCACCCTCCCAGGCACAGCTGCAGCTGCCAAAACTAGGATTGTGGAACTAGGAATCCCTGCACTCTTGGGGGCCCAGGAAGTCACCCCCTTGCCCTTGCAGACTTGGAGGTGCCTGCTTCCTGGCCTCTCCCTGCTCCTAGTGCCTGCTCTGGAGCAGGCTTGGGGCTGAGCCCAGGCACTGTCACAGCCTGGCAGGGTGTGCACATGCTCAGGCCCTGCAACCTTGGTCCCCTCCAGACTTTGGGATCTGTGAAGTATGGCGGGAAGCTGATGGGGGCGGCTGAGAGTGGCTCAGTGCTGGCCTTCAGGTGCCCCTTGATGTGAGCAGCCTGGGTGCCATGGATGGCGACAGGAGATAGCCAGGCTCCTGGGCAGGAGGGTTGGGTCCCTGGTGAGTCCCCACCTTGAGGAAAGGACAGGGCTGAAGGCTGAGGGCCAAGCTGCCGGTCTCGTGGACTGGAGTGGGAACTTGTGGTACTTTCCTGTGCTCACCTATGGATGTCTGTGCACCAATTACCATGTATTTCCTCTCCTCTGAGGCACATAAATGCCCCAGGATCAGCCAGAGCAAAGACAATGGGGAAACCAGCTGCAAGCAGAGCTACCATCTCTCCCCAGAGCTGCAGATGATAGGACAAACAGCTGCAGAGAGGGGGTACCCTCTCTGCTAGGAGCTGAACACTCATTGAGAGACCCTGGCTATGGAGAGATGCTGCCCACTGCAGGTCTTCTCTGAGCTGTTCTCTTGCTCAGTAAATCCCCTCTTTGTCTTGCTCACCCTCCACTTCTCTGTATACTTCATTTTTCCTGGTTGTAGGACAAGAACTCATGACCTACTGAATGGTGAGGCTGCAAGAGCTGCCGTAACACAAACAAGGCTGAAACATGCTTATTGCTCACCATGTTGTGGGCAAAGAGAAAAAGAGAAGAGCTGTGGCCTTTCGGGGAATCCAGACCTGGAAACTCCCTTAGCCAGGGCTGTGACTGCCTCTTTGCGGCCCTGTGATTCCTGGCACCTCCAAGCTTCCCAGTGCCACCACATCCACTAGTGCCAGCTGGGGAGGCACTTTGGGATGCACCTTTCAAGCCACAGCCTTCCAGGGAGCTGGCACCTATGCTGGACCTTAAAATAGAACTGGAACCTGGAGCTGCCCACCCCATAGCAGCATGCAGAGGCTGGACCCCACACTTGCTCACACACCCATTGCCACTCCATGCCTGACTCCAATCTCCCTTGCAGGCATGGGATCCAGGGTTGTAGCATGAGCCAAATGCAGCCTGCCAGGCCAAGTGAGGGGAATGAGCCCACCAAGCCCAAGCACAACTCTACCTTTGGCACCACCAGCCACAGATTCCTGCCAGAAAAGTGACACCCCAAAAAATCCCTTAACATTTCCACCCTCTACCACCCTGAAGTAATTCCTTGTGTCTATAGTCCCTTTCTTGTATTCATGTGTACTCAATGTTTAGCTCCCACTTGTAAGTAAGAATGTACAATATTTGGTTTTCTGTTCCTGCATTAGTTCACTTAGGCTAATGGTCTCCAGCTCCATCTATGTTGCTGCAAAAGGCACGATCCTGTTCTTTTCAATGGCTGTGTAGTATTCCATGGTATATATCTACCACATTTTCTTTATCCAGTCTACTGTTGATGGGCATTTAGGTTGATTTCATATCTTTGACTAATAACTAGTGACTGCAGAAAAGGAACCCAAAGCACAAATAAGAGACTAGTCCTAGATGACATCTTGATTCTAGTATTTTTTTTTCTTTCCAAATTTTATTTTAGTTTCAGGGACAGGTGTGCAGGTTTGTTACATAGGTAAGTTGTGTGCCAAAGGGGTTTGGTGTACAGATTATTTCATCACCCAGATAATAATAACACTCAGATAATTGTGTACACTGCTGTGATGAACATATGCATGTGTCTTTATTGTAAAATGATTTAGACTCTTTTGGGTATATACCCAATTATGGGATCACTGGGTCAAATGGTAGCTCTATCTTAAGTTTTATGAGAAATTATCACACTGCTTTCCACAGTGGCTGAAATAATTTATGTTCTCACTAGCAGTGTGTAAGCATTCTCTTTTCTCCACAATCTCACTAGCACCTGTTATTTTTTAACGTTTTAATATTAGCCATTCTAACTAGCATGAGATGGTGTCTCATTGTGATTTTGATTGGTATTTATCTAATAATTAGTGATGTTAAGCACATTTTCATATGCTTGTTGGCCATGTGTATGTCTTCTTTTCAGAACTGTCTATTGCTGTCCTTTGCCCACTTTTTGATAGAGTTATTTGGTTTTTGCTTTTTAACTTGTTTAAGTTCCTTCTAGATTATTGATATTAGACCTTGGTTGGATTCACAGTTTTCAAATTTTTTTTTTTTTGCTTTTTGTTGCAATTGCCTTTGCAGTCTTTGTCATCAAATCTTTGCCAGGACTTATGTCCAGAATGGTATTTCCTAGATTTTCTTCAAGTATTTTTATAGTTTTATGTTTTACATTGAAGTCTGTAATCCATCTTGAATTGATTTTTCTATATTGTGAAAAGAAGGGTCCAGTTTCAATCTTCTGCATATTACAAGCCAGTTGTCCCAGTGTCATTTATTGAACAGGGAGTCCTTCTGTTATTGCCTGTTTTTGTTGACCTTGTCAAAGATAAGAGGGTTGTAGGTGAGCAGCTTTGCTTCTGGGTTCTCTAACCTGTTCTGTTTGTCTGTCTGTTTTTGTACCAGCACTATGTGGTTTTCGGTACTGTGGCCTTGTAGAATATTTTGAAGTTGAATAACGTGATGCCTCTGGCATTTTTCTTTTTGCTTAGGATTGTTTGGCAATTCAGGCTTTTTATTTTTATTTTTGATTCATATGAGTTTTAGAGTATTTTTTTCTAATTATGTTAAAAATGTAGTTGGTAGTTTGCTAGGAATGGCATTTACTATGTAAATTGCTTTGGGCAGTATGGCCATTTTAACAATATTACTTCTTCCTATCCATGAGCACAGAATGTTTTATCAGTTGTTTGTGTTGTCTCTTATTCCTTTCACCAGTGTATTGTGACTCTTATTGTAGATTTCAAATTTTCAAATCTGGAGCAGAGAATCCAACCATGCTGTGCTGAACTTCTGTAGACACTGCGATACCACTAAGGGAGTGTCATTTCAAGCGTCTAAATTCATGATAACGTGTTATACAATAATAGAAAACTAATAGAATGGCAACAATTGGAAATGAGTTTTTAATTCCAGTGGGGAGAGATTTATGGCAACTCTCACCTAATCGTGTAGGTATCTTCAGTGATACAGAAGTGAGATCCTCCCCTGAGAATTAGGAAGACAGTGTAGAAGAATGAAATCAAAGTCTGATAATTGTCCAGCGCTCATTAAGTGCCAAGTAGCTAGTGAGGTGTCTTTCCCAAGTAAACACAGAGATTGTCTTATCCCCATATATAACGCACTTCCAGATGACTTCATTTGTACAATAATAAATCATTACTCTCTACACAGTTGATTACCATAAAACAGAATATTCACTCAGCCTGCACTAAAGTGCCTTCAATAAGAATTGGAAAAATAACATTCATTCCAGTTTTGGAATGATAGAAATGTAAAACTCAATAACTGTCATAAAGTCTTGTTTTATTATATATGAATTAATAAGCAGAAAAAGTTGGTCTATAGGGCTATTAAAAAAACCATAAATATTGAGGAGAGCAAAAATGGAAGAGGGAGAGAACACTATGTTTCCTGGGACTGTTCAAATCTATGTTAAACTACATTTTTAAAACTTAATATAGTATTCCACAAAATATCCCATGTCCTCATGTGACTTGGGAGAGGAATACCATGCCTAAGGAGACAATGTACTTCTGTACAGAGAGAAATATCTATAGAAACTGTTCAATAACAATGACAAGGGAAGTAGAGGTATATAGATGAGGGATCAAATATTAATTATGTCCAAGAATGGGAAAGGACTTCAGTCAAGTCATTGAGCATAGAAGGGGTTCCATAGGGTATAGTTGGGAGAGTCCAAAATGATGTAAACAGTGGGGATTCATCAGGGAAAGCTCTCAGAACAGTATTGAGGTTAGGTGCTGGATTAGACAGATAGAGATATTGAAATTTTGTAAGGTAATTAATAAATGAAGGCAGTCTTCTAGGGCATGAGCTAATGAGTGGTCTCCATAGAATGGAGTGGGGATAGTCTGATATAAAGGTTTTTGCATGCCAACATAGGCAGATATGTTAGAAGGCGCAAGTCTATAAAGGTTGGTGCTTCAGAGTTCAGTGCCCCAGTACACAGATCATAGCTTCAAAGTAGATTCTCTTTCACTGGTTGAGTGTCTTTGGAAAAGCTAATGAATCTTTCTTACTTATAACTATAAACCTGTAAAATGAGAATAATAATGAGACATTTTTCTTAGCTTTATTGTGAGAGTAGGAAAGATGTGCAATCTGCCAAGCAATGACTTGCTAAGAATCAAAACAATTATTGCAAGATAAGTCTGTAAAAATACCAAAACACTTGGTGCTTGTGAAAAAAAAACCAGAAACTTAATATGAAATATAATAAATGGATTTTGAATATGTACATTTTAAACACTACTTATTTGTTATATACTGAGAAGTCCAAATAATATGTCATACACTGAAGTTTTTGTAAGATTATAACTTTGCTGTACTAGAATGTAATAATTATAAATATATTTAGGATGTTTTAGCTATAGGTTAATTATAAAGAAAACAATTTTCTATGACTATAATTATTTCTCTCTGTAATTGTTAAGAAAGAAATGAGAAACTTTTTCTATATTTAGGGTGGTAACTAATTTATCACTCAAACAATGACACTTAAGATACAATGTGCACTCAGTTCCACAGGCTTAACAGGAAGAATGGCTGAGAGGCATCAGGAAACTTATATGGCAGAAGGGGATGTGGAAGCAAGGACTTTCTTAACATAGTGGCAGGAGACAGAGAGAGTGAGCGAGGGGGGAAATGCCACACACTTTTAAACCATCAGATCTCATGAGAACTCACTATCTCAAGAACAGCAAGGGGGAAACAAACCTCCATGATCCAATCACTCCCACCAGGTCCCTCCTCCAATTTGACATGAGATTTGGGTGGGGACATAAATCACGAGCTAAACACAATTAGCAAGTACTAATTGATGTATTCAAGGATAAAATGAGAATATTTATGCAAATAGTCATCCTATCTACAGAATCTTAAATATCTGTTTATAATTACTTGATTGAAATGAGAGAAAGTAAAATGCATTATGTTCTGAATTGGGGCTTCCAAGGTATTTAAGTAGTTACACTCTCACCACCACCCCACATTCCTTAGCACCTTCCACTTTCATGAAAATTACAGCTACGATTATCATCAAGTTTTACAGGAGAAAATTAATTTGATTTGTTTTTAAAGTAGATGGACTGCAGAGGAAATAAGTACAGGATTTGGTGAAGACAGCATCTCAAGTATTTTTTATCTTCTTCTCTTTTTTAAATCCAACTTATCTTCATCTTTCAAGACAAGCAGCTTCTGACCCCAGCAGGTCAATGAGCTAGACATGGAGTGTGTGAGTGAGCCTTCAAAGTTTGCTGGAATTTAATAAGGTCAGCAAGCACAGGCATTTTTCCCCTTTCCAGTGTGAATAAAATGCAGCAGTTAAAGCCCCAGAATATCAGACAGGATATTTATTGTTTTAATTGTGCCCTTAAAGATAAAATCTCAGTGTCCCTAGTCTCCCGTTATATGGAGCAGAGAAGAAGCTCAACAAGTTGGCTGTCTTTTCCTCCCTGGTTCTGTAACTAGGAGATGACATGAAGGCTGGGGAGGAGAGAGTCCTCCTTGTATCTGGACAGGCACTGGCAAAATGCCTGCTGGAACAAAGTTGGCCATAGATTATTTTCTATTGTTTGAGCTATCACAAAACACAATGCATGGCATTCAACATCAGAACTTAATTTCCAAAGAACAAGCGAACTAAAATAAAATACAATAAAAGTATAAATAAATACATATAAATGAGTTTTCTCCAGTCTGCAGCTGAGTCTTGAGGGAGTCCTGATTAATATCATCCCTGTGTTTCCCACCTTGGTTTGGAATAAGTTGAGAATGGCAGAGGAGTGTAAACTGGGACCAAATCCATCACTAAAAGTGCTGATTTAGAAGATGAAAGTTAGATGTGCAACACAAATAGGCCTAATGATGAACCCCCACATTAGATGAACTGCCCTACACAAACGTAGGAACCACTGGTCAATGACTAGGCTGTCCATGTGAGGGTCTAGCCCCATTAAACTTAGTGTTGACTAGAATGGGTCTTTCCTATATGTACCAAATTTCTAAAAGAAAAGAGGACAGAGAGAGCTGAGTTATACTTTCTATATCCTTATGATTGAGCTGCAGGAATAATTAATGTCAATGTCTTTTTTTGTATAAGATGGCTTAAACTAGAACTGGGTTCCTATTTTCAGTTGTATGCCTTTGTTTTAATGAAAAAAAATCCTCTGGAAGTAGTTGGTTCTGAGTAGTTCATCTGAATAAAGAAGATATGCACTGTAGGGGCCCTAATCGCTGCCAGGCACCCAACTCCTCTATTCTTTAAAGCAAATGGGAAGCCTCCCTGGTCCCCTTACCCCTTCAGAAATCAGAAAGCTGTTATGGGAGGGCCTAGGAGGAATAGGAGTGCTAGGAGGAAAAGTATCAGACAATAAATGGATACAGTTTTAAACTGTTACATTTGAATGCAATAAAAATGTATATACTATCCTAGGTGTAATGTCCTATCAAATATTCAAATTAAGTATATGTATTTCAATATGGTTTTATAAGAACTGTGATTTTAGTATTAAATATATTCTTAATTATTTTAAGCATGTGTGAATTGCTAAATGTTAGGGCTGGAGTGCAGGGGTTTATGATAGAGTAAGTCTTCCACATTCCTAGGATGAATTTTCTCTAAACACTCTTAACACGTTGCCCCATTCATTATTCTCGCATTATACATGTGGAATGAGTAATCTGATCACTGAATATTGTATCTTATAGAAGAACTATGTTTTCCTGTTGCTTTGCATCCTCACTAGCAATTGATATTGTGAAGTTTATTTTTGTATTTTATCACACTTAATGTTTAATGATTAACTCATTGTTGTTTGAAACTGTGCTTCCTAGAAGCCAAATTATGTTGAATATCTTTCTATATGCTTATTTGCCACCCATATATCTCCTTTGCTTTTGTTTGCTCAGGTCGTTGGTGCATTTAAAAAATATACACTGTTGCATTTTAAGAGTCCATTGTATATTTTGGATATAAATCCTTTGTATTGCATATTATTTCCAGATGTTCAAATGTTTCTCCTGGTGGCGACTGTCTTTTAATTCTCTTAACAATGTTTTTCACAGAGCAAAAATTTTAAATTTTAATATAGTCCAAATTATTGATTTTTTTGTGAATTGTGATTTTGTTACTGTGCCCAAAGACCCCTCACCAAACCTAGGGCCACATAGACTTTCTTCTTTGTTTAATTTTACATATTTTATAGATTTGTATTTTATAAAGGGCATTTATCTAAAGGAAAGGAAATCAATTTATCAAAGAGACATCTGTGCCCTCATGTTTAATGCATTACTATTTACAATAGCAATATATGAAATCAACCTAGGTGTCCAACAACATATGAATGAATAAAAGAAAAAAGGGAGCATATATACACAATGGAATACTATTTAATTATAAAAAAGAATGAAATCCTGTCATTCATGGCAACATGAACGAAACTGAAAGATATGATGTTAAGTGAAATGAGCCAGGAAAAGAAAGCCAAACACTATATGTTCTCACTCATTTGTGGAAGCAAACAAAAGTTGATCTCATAGAAGTAAAAAGTAGAGCAGAGTTTACTAAAGGCTGGGAAGTTTAGGGAGAGGGAGGAATAGTGAGAGATTGGTTAAAGGATACAAAATTACAGCTAGATAGGAAAAGTAAGTTCTAGTATTCTATACCACTGAAGGATGACTATAGTTAACAATAATAAATTTCTCCAAATAGCTAGAATGAGGATATTAGATGCTCCCAAAACAAAATAAATAAAAAATGCTAGAGATGATGGATATTCTAATCACAACTAATCTGATCACTGTACATTATATGTAAACATCACTATGTGTTCCATAAATATGTATAATTATAGGTTAGTTTTAAAATCCTAAAATATAAAAGAAAAAAATAAAAACTATGATCCATATCAAGAATTTTTATGTAAGATATAAAATGTGTGCCTATGTTATTACTACTTTTTTGCATATGATGTCCAAGTATTCTGGCATCATTTCTTGAAGAAATATTACAAATATAGATATGTGCACAGGTTAGTATACACACATGCTTGTCTTATTCTTTCTACTGGTAGTCTAAAAGTAATGACACTTGGGTAGCAATAACTTCCTTTCTGCCTTTGTCAAAAATCAGTTGACCATATTTTTGTGGATCAATTTTTGAGTTCTCCATTCTGTTCTATTTATTTATGCCAATTATTTCCTCCATACAATAATATCTTGATTATTGTAGCATCCTATTAGTCTTAGAATAGAGTAGTTTGAGTCTTGTAACTTTTTTTAATAATTCCTGTGTTGTATTAAACCCTTTCCCCTTTCATAAAAATTTTAGAATTTGTTAATCAATATCTGCAAAATAACTTGCTGGTATTTTCATTGGAATTGTATTGAATCTGTAGATCAAGATGAGAAGAACTAACATCTTTAATAATATTGAATCATCTTAATTCATAAATATGGAATCTCTCAATTTATTTAGTTCTTTTTTTCTCAGTGTTTATATCTTTTCTCATATATATCCTGTATGTGTTGTGTTAGATTTATATCTATGAGGCATAAAAAGAGGTAAAAAGATAATTTTCTACCTCTGAGATTTTCTATGAAAATAATGTATTATATCTAACCACCTAGTAATATGGTCAACACAAAATAATTTATTTAAATATGTCGTTCCTTTTTTCTTTTTTTTTTTGAAACAGAGTCTTGCTCTGTTGCCCAGGCTGGAGTGCAGTGGCACGATCTTGGTTCACTGCATGTTCCGCCTCCCAGGTTCACGTCATTCTCCTGCCTCAGCCTCCCGAGTAGCTGCGACCACAGACGCCCGCCACCACGCCCGGCTAATTTTTTGTATTTTTAGTAGAGACGGGGTTTCACCGTGTTAGCCAGGATGGTCTCGATCTCCTGACCTCGTGATCCACCCGCCTCGGCCTCCCAAAGTGCTGGGATTACAGGCGTGAGCCACCGCACCCGGCCCCTTTTCTAACTTTTTAACTGACAGCCAGTTAACACAAATACCATAGGTGCTTCACTGTAGAAGAGGAAACTAATTATTGACTTTTTGAAATTTATAGTGGTCAATCAATCTGATAGAGGATACTCACATTAAGTTCATGCATTTTTTATTTTAACTGTTATATTTAAGACAGATGACAATGAATTAAAAAACTATTGACTTATTTATTTTTAATGAATGAAATTTTAATTTACAAAAATTGCTATGTTTATCATGTACAACATGATGTCTTGAAATACACATATATTTTAAATGGTTATATTGAGCTAATTCATATTTGTATTCATTATCACTGCTGACTACTCATAGCAGACTGATCAAATGCAGCCACCACTTGCTATTTCATTAACAACAATAAATCATTAAGTCTATTTTTAATTAAAATATTTTGAAAGGCAGTAATTTTCTTTCAGAATCTATAATATCAGTTTATTTCTGTGGTACATACACACATACACACACACACAGACGCACACACACAAACATACAATCACTTGCTGTGATTTTTCTATTATAATTGTGTTAAACTTTAATTGTTTCATTGTTGCTGTACATTATCTCTGGCTCTCATTTCCAGATAATAAAATAAAGTAATTTGACATGATGCTCAGTTATATATGACCAGGTATTTTAATAAAAGAAAAATTTTATTAACAAGAAATTTGCATCACCTTTTTATAATTCAAATATGACATGATTGCTGCCCTTAATACTGCTTAGTTTAAAGCTAAAAACAGGGAAATAGCAAGGAAATCTTTTTGTAGTCTTTCTTCTCTGATATCTTTTATAAAGCTGAAGTTTTTCTTCTTTTTCCACCTTTATTTGATTTATGAATTAATAACAAAAACAATATAGACATAAAATCTAGAAATTAGTATATTCTCCAGGGAAGGTTGAAAATTTTTACGTTATCAAATTTTTCCATAGATCTACAATTTAGCAAGATGAAATGCAGATGGAATATTGGTAGTAGGCACCAGTCAAGAGCCATTCCACCTATCGCTTAATGTGATTCTCTCAGACTTTCATTTTTAGGCCCTAGGCTCCTTCCGAACACCTTTGTTCAAGTCTTCTCTGAGCTTTATTGAGCTTTTCACTTCCTCTTTGGAACAACTAATTTATTCTTATTTCCTTGATGAAAACTGTTACTGAAGGAAATTAAACTGCCCATGAAGCAATAACTATGACTGTGGTTTTACTTTTTGATCTCTAAGTTGCATTGAACTATTTAATTTCTTAAGCCTGGGTTGGATAGGTGAATATAAAATTGTTTATCATAATAATAATGACTAAAATTGAGTTCCAAAGAAATAAAATGATATAATTCATTTCTCAAAACTCATGTCTCAAAAATCTATTGAGTAAAACCTAAAATTTTTAAAAGCTCACAATTATGTGAATGAATTGTTTTAATATAACCAATTTTAAAGACAGATTATTTTGATATCACTTTTTTTTTAACCATTGAATGAGTCCATGAATCTGAAAGCGATATATATTTCCCTTTACCTCAAAATTGGCATCAAAACCAAAATGGTAAATAAGCAAATATTTCAGGCTGAGGACTAAATATCTTTAGAAAATTAATTTATAAGAATTAGGTGCATCCACAGTAAGAGCTAAAATGAAACTTTTTCCTTGAGTTTTTTGACTGATTACAACACATTACGAGCTAGTACTATTTTTCCTTTTGACACTGTCCTTATTCATCAAAATAAAGACATTATTCAGATTGTCTATATTTATTAATTTAATAAACTACAAGTAAACCACATAATTTAATGAGACTCTTACAATAAGGTGGTATTTACATGATTCCCATACGAGTGTTTAGAAAGGATGGAATACTATCAAAAATAAATCCATCTTATAGGTCCAGCAATTGCTTGGTAATGAACCAACAAAGCCTGAAGCACAAGAAACGACCCTGGTGGTAATGGCGATGATGTGTTTAATGACTTCAGCTGAGTGGCTTTTAGGGAAGATAAACACACTAGGAAATGTGTTTTAAAATGTACCAAGGAGACATTTTGGTTTACTGAACACAGAATTTAATTTTAAAGGATTTTTGAAACAAGTGAAGATAAAATGAAGTTATGACTAGACCTTCCTCATAACAGGATTTCCAAAGGGGCAATGTTTATTGCTATTAGATTTTAGTTCCCTCTATTTTCAAAGCTATTACATGCAAGGTTGCCTAACAAAGAAACGGTGGACTCAGAGCCCTTTTTATACTCGTTTTAATGTTGATGTTAAATGTAATTAGCATCAAGAAACCATGGTCAATGTCTTGAAGCCTAAACTAAAAAGAAAATATAAGAATAATTAGATTGGATTTAAACTTTCAACTAGAGGGAAAAGGTGCTCTGAAAGGACATTCTACAAATTTAAACACTGTAAGAAAATTAAAAAGTAATATATCTCAAAGTATCAAAATAAATTGCTATGTTTTTTTCTATCAAATTAGATGTCATACCTTGCTGTTCCACTGAATGTTTACATTTGTATAAATTCAATTATGTAGACTTAATAATCTATTTGCATTCTCAGTTTTATAGTGAGAAAGAATAAAATAATTACTATAAAATATATGCAATTTTAAAAGAGGAATGTTAGGTCAAAGAGATGATTGAGTACACAATCCTCTCTCCACTCTCTTCAAAATTCCATTTGCAACAAATCCATTAATAAAGTACAATAATAAATAAATTCATAAGAATGATAGAAAATAAGAAATAGAATCCATAGTTGATCTGAAATTTGGGGGAATTTCTATAAAAGAGAAGGCAATTGGACCGTAAATTTAAAAAACATTAATGAAAGGAAGAGGGTGGGAAGGATTAGATAAAGGAGGAAGTTTATCTGGAATTTAGTTGCAACAGATACCCATTAACTTGGTGGAGCACTTGAGTAAATACTATCCATCAGAGTCTTCTCTGTGTGAGCCAAAATAGCTGGTTTTATACCTGTCGACCATTTAGTCACTGAACATAGGATGTCCTGCGTGACTTTAGGCAAGGTCACTCATTGAAACTGAGGCTGACTCTAAAGGAAACAGCGGGAGAGCTTTCTGCTGTTAGCACTATTAATAGCTGAACAAGTTCATTCTGAAAGGTAATTTGGATTTTGCATCTTTTATGTCTCTCACATCCAGGTTCTCTACAAAACAGATCTTGAGGCAAAGACTAAAAGAAGCTAAGAACATTATGCCAAGTGAAATAAGTCAGGTGTAGAAGGACAAATATCGTGTCATCTCTACTGGTTTTATTTATTACATGATTTTCATTCTTATTTCCTTTTGTTACTTCTGTTTACTTTTCATTTACTTCTATTTACTTGTGGATTAATTTGCTCTTCATTTTATACTTTCATTAGATGAAAGTTAAAATCATGGATTTTACATTTTTTCCCTTAAAATGGGCATTTGAGGCTTTAGGACATCATTAAATAAATTCAATAATGTCCATGTGCTGCTTTTATTTCATTTATATTACAACATTTCCTATTTTTTTCTTGTCATTTAAAATATGAATCACATATTAATAAGTGAATTGCTTAATTTCAAAATATATTGAGATTATTTTTATTTCCCAATTTAATTTTATTGTGGCCAAAGAGCATGATCTGTATGATATTGGTCCTTTAAAATTTATTGAGACTTATTTTATGATTCAGCATATGGTCTGTCTAGATGAATACTTCATGGGCACATCTAAAAGTTTTGAATATGTTCATTTTAGTATGTAGTATTCTATAAGTCTCTGTGAGGTAAATATTTTCACAGTGTTATTCATATCCCATCTGTTTGCACTTTTTAATTTTATTGTTCTATCAATTACTGTAAGATGAGAGTTATGATCTCCAACTATTCCATGAATTTGCTTATTACTCTTCTTAGTCTATTCTGTTTTATATAGTTTGAAACTCTTTATTAGGTGCACACATATTTAAGATTAGTATGTCTTCTCAATGAATTGCAATATGAAGGCCCTATTTATCTTGGTAATATTTCTTGTACTGAAATATATTAGTTTTATATTAAAAAACATAAACCTACCTTAATATGCTTAGTGTTTTCATGTTTTATACATATATATATGTTCTAGTCTTTTATAATCAATGTCTATTATTTATTGATTTATTGAATTAAAATGTGTCACTTGTAGATATATTTAGTGCTTGCTTTGTTATCCAAATAGACAATTACTGCCTTTTAGTGGTAGAATTTAGTTAATGTATATTTCATATAAATACTGTTATAGAAAGATGAGTCTAACATCTAGGTATTTGTTTTCTATTTTTTTCACTTTATAATGTTTTCAACTCTCTCTTGATTTTTTAAAAAAATATTTTCTCATACTTCTTTCAGAAAGTTTTAGTGGTTGCTGTGGTGAATAATATATGCATGTTTAATTTATCATAGTCTGTTTTCAAATAATATTATATTACTTTGTAGTGATATAAGAACCTTTGAGCAAAAACTAAAATTTCACTTATCTTCTTCACATCATTTATACTCCTGTTCTCTTATCTTTGAGATCTATATATATTATAAGCCCCATGAATTCATTGTATTCATTTTATTTTTATTATTTTTGATTTTATTTTAGATTGTTGATAAACTTTAAAATAATTTTACTTGTGCATATGCATATAAATTAGATATATAATTTGTTTTTTAAAAATATATGCACCCTATATTTAATCTTTCTCATGCATTTTACCTTATCTTATACATCCCAGTCCAGGTGAAAAATTAATGTCTATTATCTTACTTAATCCCATGATGAGATACTTTCAGATTCTACTAAATTAAAATTCTTATAGCAGTATACAACTAAAATCTTAACTATCTCTCTTTTTTCACTTTAGAAATAGTTTAGTTAGAGGGAGGAGCCAAGATGGCCGAATAGGAACAGCTCCGGTCTACAGCTCCCAGCGTGAGCGACGCAGAAGACGGGTGATTTCTGCATTTCCACCTGAGGTACTGGGTTCATCTCACTAGGGAGTGCCAGACAGTGGGCGCAGGTCAGTGGGTGCGCGCACCGTGCGCGAGCCGAAGCAGGGCGAGGCATTGCCTCACTTGGGAAGCACAAGGGGTCAGGGAGTTCCCTGAGTCAAAGAAAGGGGTGACGGACGGCACCTGGAAAATAGGGTCACTCCCACCCGAATACTGCGCTTTTCCGACGGGCTTAAAAAACGGCGCACCACGAGATTATATCCCGCACCTGGCTCGGAGGGTCCTACGCCCACAGAGTCTCACTGATTGCTAGCACAGCAGTCTGAGATCAAACTGCAAGGTGGCAGCCAGGCTGGGGGAGGGGTGCCCGCCATTGCCCAGGCTTGCTTAGGTAAACAAAGCAGCCGGGAAGCTCCAACTGGGTGGAGCCCACCACAGCTCAAGGAGGCCTGCCTGCCTCTGTAGGCTCCACCTCTGGGGGCAGGGCACACACAAACAAAAAGACAGCAGTAACCTCTGCAGACTTAAATGTCCCTGTCTGACAGCTTTGAAGAGAGCAGTGGTTCTCCCAGCACGTAGCTGGAGATCTGAGAACAGGCAGACTGCCTCCTCAAGTGGGTCCCTGACCCCTGACCCCTGAGCAGCCTAACTAGGAGGCACCCCCCAGCAGGGGCACACTGACACCTCACACAGCAGGGTACTCCAACAGACCTGCAGCTCAGGGTCCTCTCTGTTAGAAGGAAAACTAACAAACAGAAAGGACATCCTCACCAAAAACCCATCTGTACATCACCATCATCAAAGACCAAAAGTAGATAAAACAACAAAGATGGGGAAAAAACAGAACAGAAAAACTGGAAACTCTAAAAAGCAGAGCGCCTCTCCTCCTCCAAAGGAACGCAGTTCCTCACCAGCAACGGAACAAAGCTGGATGGAGAATGACTTTGGCGAGCTGAGAGAAGAAGGCTTCAGACGATCCAATTACTCTGAGCTACAGGAGGACATTCAAACCAAAGGCAAAGAAGTTGAAAACTTCGAAAAAAATTTAGAAGAATGTATAACTAGAATAACCAATACAGAGAAGTGCTTAAAGGAGCTGATGGAGCTGAAAACCAAGGCTCGAGAACTACGTGAAGAATGCAGAAGCCTCAGGAGCCGATGCGATCAACTGGAAGAAAGGGTATCAGCGATGGAAGATGAAATGAATGAAATGAAGCGAGAAGGGAAGTTTAGAGAAAAAAGAATAAAAAGAAATGAGCAAAGCCTCCAAGAAATATGGGACTATGCGAAAAGACCAAATCTGCATCTGATTGGTGTACGTGAAAGTGATGGGGAGAATGGAACCAAGTTGGAAAACACTCTGCAGGATATTATGCAGGAGAACTTCCCCAATCTAGCAAGGCAGGCCAACGTTCAGATTCAGGAAATACAGAGAACGCCACAAAGATATTCCTCGAGAAGAGCAACTCCAAGACACATAATTGTCAGATTCACCAAAATTGAAATGAAGGAAAAAATGTTAAGGGAAGCCAGAGAGAAAGGTCGGGTTACCCTCAAAGGGAAGCCCATCAGACTAACAGCGGATCTCTCGGCAGAACCCTACAAGCCAGAAGAGAGTGGGGGCCAATATTCAACATTCTTAAAGAAAAGAATTTGCAACCCAGAATTTCATATCCAGCCAAACTAAGCTTCATAAGTGAAGGAGAAATAAAATACTTTACAGACAAGCAAATGCTGAGAGATTTTGTCACCACCAGACCTGCCCTAAAAGAGCTCCTGAAGGAAGCACTAAACATGGAAAGGAACAACCGGTACCAACCACTGCAAAATCATGCCGAAATGTAAAGACCATCGAGACTAGGAAGAAACTGCATCAACTAATGAGCAAAATCACCAGCTAACATCATAATGACAGGATCAAATTCACATATGACAATATTAACTTTAAACGTAAATGGACTAAATGCTCCAATTAAAAGACACAGACTGGCAAATTGGATAAAGAGTCAAGACCCATCAGTGTGCTGTATTCAGGAAACGCATCTCACGTGCAGAGACACACATAGGCTCAAAATAAAAGGATGGAGGAAGATCTACCAAGCCAATGGAAAACAAAAAAAGGCAGGGGTTGCAATCCTAGTCTCTGATAAAACAGACTTTAAACCAACAAAGATCAAAAGAGACAAAGAAGGCCATTACATAATGGTAAAGGGATCAATTCAACAAGAAGAGCTAACTATCCTAAATATATATGCACCCAATACAGGAGCACCAAGATTCATAAAGCAAGTCCTGAGTGACATACAAAGAGACTTAGACTCCCACACATTAATAATGGGAGACTTTAACACCCCACTGTCAACATTAGACAGATCAACGAGACAGAAAGTCAACAAGGATACCCAGGAATTGAACTCAGCTCTGCACCAAGCAGACCTAATAGACATCTACAGAACTCTCCACCCCAAATCAAAAGAATATACATTTTTTTCAGCACCACACCACACCTATTCCAAAATTGACCACATACTGGGAAGTAAAGCTCTCCTCAGCAAATGTAAAAGAACAGAAATTATAACAAACTATCTCTCAGACCACAGTGCAATCAAACTAGAACTCAGGATTAAGAATCTCACTCAAAACCGCTCAACTACATGGAAACTGAACAACCTGCTCCTGAATGACTACTGGGTACATAACGAAATGAAGGCAGAAATAAAGATGTTCTTTGAAACCAACGAGAACAAAGACACAACATACCAGAATCTCTGGGAGACATTCAAAGCAGTGTGTAGAGGGAAATTTATAGCACTAAATGCCCACAAGAGAAAGCAGGAAAGATCCAAAATTGACACCCTAACGTCACAATTAAAAGAACTAGAAAAGCAAGAGCAAACACATTCAAAAGCTAGCAGAAGGCAAGAAATAACTAAAATCAGAGCAGAACTGAAGGAAATAGAGACACAAAAAATCTTTCAAAAAATTAATGAATCCAGGAGCTGGTTTTTTGAAAGGATCAACAAAATTGATAGACCGCTAGCAAGACTAATAAAGAAAAAAAGAGAGAAGAATCAAATAGACGCGATAAAAAATGATAAAGGGGATGTCACCACCGATCCCACAGAAACACAAACTACCATCAAAGAATACTACAAACACCTCTACGCAAATAAACTAGAAAATCTAGAAGAAATGGATAAATTCCTGGACACATACACTCTCCCAAGACTAAACCAGGAAGAAGTTGAATCTCTGAATAGACCAATAACAGGAGCTGAAATTGTGGCAATAATCAATAGCTTACCAACCAAAAAGAGTCCAGGACCAGATGGATTCACAGCCGAATTCTACCAGAGGTACAAGAGGAACTGGTACCATTCCTTCTGAAACTATTCCAATCAATAGAAAAAGAGGGAATCCTCCCTAACTCATTTTATGAGGCCAGCATCATTCTGATACCAAAGCCAGGCAGAGACACAACAAAAAAAGAGAATTTTAGACCAATATCCTTGATGAACATTGATGCAAAAATCCTCAATAAAATACTGGCAAAACGAATCCAGCAGCACATCAAAAAGCTTATCCACCATGATCAAGTGGGCTTCATCCCTGGGATGCAAGGCTGGTTCAATATACGCAAATAAATAAATGTAATCCAGCATATAAACACAACCAAAGACAAAAACCACATGATTATCTCAATAGATGCAGAAAAAGCCTTTGACAAAGTTCAACAACCCTTCATGCTAAAAACTCTCAATAAATTAGGTATTGATGGGACGTATTTCAAAATAATAAGAGCTATCTATGACAAACCCACAGCCAATATCATACAGAATGGGCAAAAACTGGAAGCATTCCCTTTGAAAACTGGCACAAGACAGGGATGCCCTCTCTCACCACTCCTATTCAACATAGTGTTGGAAATTCTGGCCAGGGCAATTAGGCAGGAGAAGGAAATAAAGGGTATTCAATTAGGAAAAGAGGAAGTCAAATTGTCCCAGTTTGCAGACGACATGATTGTATACCTAGAAAACCCCATTGTCTCAGCCCAAAATCTCCTTAAGCTGATAAGCAACTTCAGCAAACTCTCAGGATACAAAATCAACGTGCAAAAATCAGAAGCATTCTTATACACCAACAACAGACAAACAGAGAGCCAAATCATGAGTGAACTCCCATTCATAATTGCTTCAAAGAGAATAAAATACCTAGGAATCCAACTTACAAGGGATGTGAAGGACCTCTTCAAGGAGAACTACAAACCACTGCTCAAGGAAATAAAAGAGGATACAAACAAATGGAAGAACATTCCATGCTCATGGGTAGGAAGAATCAATATTGTGAAAATGGCCATACTGCCCAAGGTAATTTACAGATTCAATGCCATCCCCATCAAGCTACCAATGACTTTCTTCACAGAATTGGAAAAAACTACTTTAAAGTTCATATGGAACCAAAAAAGAGCCTGCATCGCCATGTCAATCCTAAGCCAAAAGAACAAAGCTGGAGGCATCACACTACCTGACTTCAAACTATACTACAAGGCTACAGTAACCAAAACAGCATGGTACTGGTACCAAAACAGAGATATAGATCAATGGAACAGAACAGAGCCCTCAGAAATAACGCCACATATCTACAACTATCTGATCTTTGACAAACCTGAGAAAAACAAGCAATGGGGAAAGGATTCCCTATTTAATAAATGGTGCTGGGAAAACTGGCTAGCCATATGTAGAAAGCCGAAACTGGATCCCTTCCTTACACCTTATACAAAAATCAATTCAAGATGGATTAAAGACTTAAACGTTAGACCTAAAACCATAAAAACCCTAGAAGAAAACCTAGGCATTACCATTCAGGACATAGGCATGGGCAAGGACTTCATGTCTAAAACACCAAAAGCAATGGCAACAAAAGCCAAAATTGACAAATGGGATCTAATTAAACTAAAGAGCTTCTGCACAGCAAAAGAAACTACCATCAGAGTGAACAGGCAACCTACAAAATGGGAGAAAATTTTCGCAACCTACTCATCTGACAAAGGGCTAATATCCGGAATCTACAATTAACTCAAACAAATTTACAAGAAAAAAACAAACAACCCCATCAAAAAGTGGGCGAAGGACATGAACAGACACTTCTCAAAAGAAGACATTTATGCAGCCAAAAAACACATGAAAAAATGCTCACCATCACTGGCCATCAGAGAAATGCAAATCAAAACCACAATGAGATACCATCTCACACCAGTTAGAATGGCAATCATTAAAAAGTCAGGAAACAACAGGTGCTGGAGAGGATGTGGAGAAATAGGAAGACTTTTACACTGTTGGTGGGACTGTAAACTAGTTCCACCATTGTGGAAGTCAGTGTGGCGATTCCTCAGGGATCTAGACCTGGAAATACCATTTGACCCAGCCATCCCATTACTGGGTATATACCCAAAGGACTATAAATCATGCTGCTATAAAGACACATGCACACGTTATGTTTATTGCGGCATTACTCACAATAGTAAAGACTTGGAACCAACCCAAATGTCCAACAATGATAGACTGGATTAAGAAAATGTGGCACATATACACCATGGAATACTATGCAGCCATAAAAAAGGATGAGTTCATGTCCTTTGTAGGGACATGGAGGAAATTGGAAATCATCATTCTCAGTAAACTATCGCAAGAACAAAAACCAAACACCGCATATTCTCACTCATAGGTGGGAATTGAACAATCAGATCACATGGACACAGGAAGGGGAATATCATACTCTGGGGACTGTTGTGGGGTGGGGGGAGGGGGGAGGGATAGCATCGGGAGATATACCTAATGCTAGATGACGAGTTAGTGGGTGCAGCGCACCAGCATGGCACATGTATACATATGTAACTAACCTGCACAATGTGCACATGTACCCTAAAACTTAAAGTATAATAAAAAAAGAAAAAGAAAAAAGACTCAAATCAGGCGATTGTTAAATTGTATCTATATGCTTGATTTGTTTATTTTTAAAGGACATGGCCATGCCTTGATTAAACCATAGAGGTAAATGAACTCATCTTTGAATGCTCAGTTGCTTTGAGTGCCTTCTATGTGCCAGATCCTATGTTCTCTGCTGAGAGTGGCCTGGAGAGTGTCAACTGCAGGTTTGCGACCACGGGCTCCCTGCCCAGCAGGATCTCCCACCCAGCCACAGACACAAGGAAGACGGAGCCACCTCTTCTCCTGCCATAATCTCCCCGCATTTGAAGCCTCTGTCTCTGCTGGGAAGACCTAAGAAGGCTATGTCTACAGCTGCCTTAAAGCTATTAATTTTTAAAAGCCATTCCATGAGAGACCTCAAAAGTCACCTACCTGGCCAAGATCTAGCCTTAATCGACAATTGATTATCTTTGAAACCAACAAGGCAATAAATCATTAATTCATAATTTGAAAAAAAAAAAAGAAATAGTTTAGTTAAAGAACATCTTCATAAAGTAAAATAATGAGGAATCTGGCTGGGCGTCTTACCAAGGTTCAAGGGTGTCCAGTGTGTGGGAGGCACACACTCTTGTCTATTTATAGGCATTTTCTGGTAATTTGGTGAACTCAGCATGTTTTTTTAATCAGTGGTTAGGGGCTTGTATTTCTAGACATAATGAATGTATCCATAGAAAAAAATATGCAAGTGAAGTTCAAGTATGTGGGTGAATGGGAAAGCATACTTACATTTGTTAAACAGATTTTTAAAAGTCACTTAAATAAAACTTAGTATCCAGAACTTGGAAAATGAAGAGTTGGCACAAAAACTTTGGTTTTCGGTGCAGCAGAACATGCCAGGTTCCTGGGACCCTAACTAAGCTGTCTGCCCCTACTTTCTGCCTATGCACTGCCTTGTCTAGACAGAGCGATAGAGTTCATTATCAAGATTAAGAGAATACAGAGATATGCTCTGATGGAACAGAAATTATGTTTATTAGTTTTCAGACATAAAGGTTCTACATAGGGAGCAAGAGAAAGCTGACTTAGATGAGATATTGCTCAAAATGAAACTATCATATGGGGAAACAACTAAATTCTACCACAAAACACACTGAAGACTAGGCCAATGTGCACTGGCACTTTCAGCTGGAAAAACAGGCTCTTTAAATTTGAGGGTAGAAAGACTTTTTCATATTAATTAGGCAGTGTGCTGGAGATTCCATATCACCCTTTCACCTTTCTACATTCTGTCATGAGAACCGGAAGCCTGACATCCGTGGTTTGCTTCAACTTTGCTGTTTTGCCTACTAGCTCACAGTTTAGAAAAGCTTATAAAAGGTATTAGAAGGAGACCAGAATAAGAAGAAGAAGTTGGGGCATTTATTTTCATCGTGCCCTCTTTTGGACGTCAGACTGTTAGTAGTACTCTGTCTTTACTAAGGTCACATCTTCTGCCCTGCCATCTACTATGACATCTACAATTATTTCTGGATTCTTGTAACCACTCCTTGTCTTTGCTTTTGCAAGCCTAAGGATTGGTAACAGCTTTCCACTATTTCTAGGCCAGTGGTGCTTCAGCATCTTTTTGGGATTTCCTTTCGCTTTGAAGTTTTTGTCATTGTTGTTGCTTTTCTTAAATCTCTTTAATAAATATAGTTAAAATTATTTTATTAAATTTTCTTTAATAATTTTATTTTTGTGTGTGTCATCTGTTTTACATCAGGACCAGACTGAAAAAATATTAATTGTAATAGT
The DNA here is from genome assembly GCF_000001405.40 of Homo sapiens. Taxonomy (NCBI): domain Eukaryota; kingdom Metazoa; phylum Chordata; class Mammalia; order Primates; family Hominidae; genus Homo; species Homo sapiens. The sequence continues at coordinate 119,594,505 of NC_000007.14, forward strand.
GACATGAAGAAATAGATTTTCAAAATGAAATTTAAAAATCGAGTTACTCATTCCTTGAAAAAAGGAAAGGAGACACTTTATTAATGGCTTGAGTGGTAGTTCACAATTACTTACATCATCACTTGTGGTAACATGGGATGCCACTCTGGTAGAGTTCAAGGCATTGAGAGACCAAGTGCTTGAGCAGTCAGTCATCATCACAGTAGTGATGATAACACTGATTGTGCCATGATTGTTTAATGTCTCTGGGGAGAACACATGTAACATGAAATTAATGGATAACTTGAATGGACATCTCTGGGCACAGGTGAAAAAAAATCGTAGGCTTTTGACAGCAGTGAATGGTTCTACAAAGAAGCTGTGGCTAAATCATCAAGCAAACACTGTATTAGGCCATTCCTGCATTGCTATAAAAAAATACCCAAAGATGGATAATTTACCAAAAAAAAGTTTTAATAGGCTTATGGTTCTGCAGGCTGTACAGAAAGCATGGTGCTGACACCTGCGCGGCTTCTGGTGAGGTCTTGGGAAGCTTTACTCATGGCAGAAGGCAAATCAGGAGGAGGCAATTCACATGGCAAGAGGAGAAGTAAGCGAGAGAGAAAGGAGAAGCCCCAGATTCTTTTAAACAAAAGGATCTTGTGTGAACTAACAGCAGGAAATCACTTATCACCAGGAGGATGGTGTTTAGCTATTCATGAGAGATCTGTCCCCATTATCTAGTCACCTCCCACTGGGTCCTACCTATGACATTGGGAGTCACATTTCAACATGAGATTTGGAGGGAATGAACATCCAAACCGTATCACAGGCCTAATGGTAAGGGTCACAGTGTTATAGTGCCAGTTAAGTTAAATGTTAAACCACTCCAGAACCCTTATGCTAAGCTTGAGAAATGTGAAACTCGAAACATGGGTTGAATATATTTGGGTAGACAGAGATTAGGCAGATGACTCTGACCTCTCAAGTTCTCCTGCGCTTTTTTGCTTTTTCTGCCAGGAATAGCAGCCTTCTCTTTACCCATTCTACATATCCTCTAGGGGAGGTCAAAATTTTATATTACCTGTTGTAATTTGTAACAAAATTGCAAAATTTTACATTACCTCGTACAGTTTCTTCACTAGAGAAAGCCAGCTATATTTGTAACTTTTCTCTCTATTTCCCCTTGCCTCTGATCCCATAATAAGAGTTAGGTCCTATCATAACAAAGAGGAAGAGGTACAAGGAGGCAATCTCCTATATGTACTAACTGAGTGGTAGATCTTTTCAGCAACTATAGGGTACATGTTGTAGAAGTGCAGTCTAACTATATTAGATAAAAGAGGATTTTTTTCCTAGTCAAATGTACATTATGGTGCCCCCCCCACACACACACAAAATCTGTAGTTAGCATGCTTTCTTGAGCTTCAGAAAATAGAATTAACAATGTGTTGGTGTCATAGATTAATTCCTAGACTTAAATGTGGTCTACAGTAAATGAGATAGAAGTGCTGTAATTTTCTAGACGCACTGCAGATGTCTTAAAGTTTTCAGTGATGTTTCTATTAAGATTAACGTATTATGTGCAACCACTCAGATACCACCTCATTATATTCCTTAGAAGATCAGGAAGACACACCCTGTTCAAGACACTAAGAAATGTTTTGGTAAAGGGAGCTCCAGAATCCTTTAAATGATTTGTCATTGCTTTTTTTGTTTTTTTGTCTGTAAGAGAAGCATGATGGTGGGAGATGACATAATAAAATACAGCTCCCTGATTTCAAGGAAATAATGTACTTTACAGTGGTAGAGGCTATATGACTTTGCTTATCCATAGACAGCAAAGCAGAAAGTTGCCTAAACAAAATGTTTTGAAAAGCAGTGATCTTCAGTGATAGCTAATGGAGTACAGTGTTCTGAGGTATGCAAGTGATAGGTAGATCAAAGAAACTTGATCTATGTGAGGGAAGCTGTGTGTGTGTGTGTGTGTGTGTGTGTGTGTGTGTGTAGATGTAGTGAATATGTCTCGAGTCACCATGTCACCATTGTGGAAATTTATATCTTCTTACCCAGGTATCAGTTCACATAACCAGATGACCACCATGAACACAAGACCAGATACTTTTCAAAAAGGTTCCTGCAATGGGATTTTAAATGTGAAATTTCATCTAAGTTTTCAAATACAAACCTGAGACCATTAACTATGGTTACTGTGCAGTGACAAAAAGGAAACATAGGTCTGACAGGGCATATATAAACAGTGGCTCTGAAATACTACTAAGCATCACAAAACTGAAACACCATCACGGTGCACAGAAAGGGAATTTACTGACTCCTGTGCTGATTTCATCACACTGTGGATTCCCTGTGGGATTTATCTTTGTGGTTTTCCCTTGATTATCAGACTGTGCACTGATAATAGATACATCATATAACCAGCAGAATCCCCAACATGGTTCCCTGACACATGAAGTGAGTCCTGTTATGGCAGAAAGAAACTGAAGCTGACACTCACACCTGCCACTTATTCTCATCCCAAAAAAGATAGTGAGACAATATAAATAAATAAATAAATAAATAAATAAAAAAAAAAGAAAGAAAAGAAAAAAAAGTTGCATTATTAGGGGGATTTGCAGAGATTAACACTGATATTAATAACTTGGAAGAATCATTTTTAGAGATTTTTACTACATCCCCAGTTAAATCATCCCACTTATGAGTGAGAACATGCGGTAATATAATGTACATGATGAGTTAATCGGTGCAGCAAACCAACACAGCACAGGTACACATATGTAACCAACCTGCACATTGTGCAGATGCACCCTAGAACTTAAAGTATAAAAACAAAGAGTGCCTGTGGTCTATGTGCATAAGTGTATTTTTGTGGAAGCAGATGTCATTCTTTTGATTCAATGTTTAGCATTCCTTTTAGGACCTCTGGTAAGGCTAGTCTAGTAGAAATGATTTCCTTTTGCACTTGCTTCTCTGAGAAGAAGTTCGTTTCTTCTTCACTTATAACATTTAATTTGGCAGGATATGAAATTCTTGGTTGGAATTTCTTTACTTTAAGGATAAATAAAATAGGGTCCCAATCACTTCTGTCTTGTAAGGTTTCTGCTGAGAGTTCTGCTGTTAGCCTGATGAATTCTCCTCTGTACTTGGCTTGACCCCTTTCTCTAGCTGCTTTTAAGATCTTTTTTTTTCTTTTCCATTGATCTAAGTGAATCTGATTACTATGTGCCTTGGGGATAGTCATCTTGTATAGTTTCTAGATGGGGTCCTCCATCTTTATTGGATTTGTATATGAATGTCTCTATTGAGATTATAGAAATTTTAATGAACTATATTCTCAAATATATTTTTCAAGTTGCTTATTCTCTCCTTTTCCTTCTCATAAATGCTAATGAGTCACATATTGGGTCTCTATACATAATTCCATATTTCTTAAAGGTTTCAATTTTTTTCAAATTTTTTTTATTATTTTACTTTAAGTTCGGGTTTAGATAGTATTCTAGGTACTTAAGAAAAAACGTGAACAAGACATATATGTTACAAGAGAGTTTAATTTCTAATTACAAAGTTATCCATATATACTTAAAAATGAAACTTCAATTATTATTAAATTTTATATATCATACAAGAGGCAGTATCAGAAATTAAACTACAAGTCCAGTTTATTTATTTTATTTTATTTTAAAATTTTACTTTAAGTTCGGGTTTACATGTGCAGAATGTGCAAGTTTGTTACATAGGTACATATATGCCATGGTGGTTTGCTGCACCTGTCAACCCATCATCTAGGTTTTAAGCCCCACACACATTACGTATTTGTCCTCATGCTCTCCCTCCCCTTGCCAACCACCCCTCAACTGGCCCCGGTGTGTGTTGTTCTCCTCCCTGTGTCCATGTGTTCTCATTGTTCAACTCCCACTTATGAGTAAGAATATATGGTGTTTGGCTTTCTGTTCCTGTGTAAGTTTGCTGAGGATTATGGCTTCCAGCTTCAACCATGTCCCTGCAAAGGACATGATCTCATTCTTTTTATGGCTGCATAGTATTCCATGGTGTATACGTTCCACATTTTCTTTATCCAGTCTATCATTGACGGACATTTGGGTTGGTTCTATGTTTTTGCTATTGTAAATAGTGCTGCAATAAACATACATGTGCATGCATCTTTATGGTAGAATAATCTATATTCCTTTAGGTACATACCCAGTAATGGGATTGCTGGGTCAAATGGTATTTCTGATTCTAGATCTTTGAGGAATTGCCACACTGTCTCCCACAATGGTTGAACTAATTTACATTTCCACCAACAGTGTAAAAGCGTTCCTATTTCTCCACATCCTCTCCAGCATCTGTTGTTTCCTGACTGTTGTTTAATAATTGCCATTCTCACTGGTGTGAGATGGTATCTCCTTGTGGTTTTGATTTGCTTTTTTCTAATGATCAGTGATGATGAGATTTTCTTCATATGTTTGTTGGCCACATAAATGTCTTCTTTTGAGAAGTGTCTGTTCATATCCTTTGCCCACTTTTTAATGGGAATGTTTGTTTTTTTCTTTCAAATTTGTTTAAGTTCCTTGTAGATTCTGGATATTAGACCCTTGTTAGAAGGGTAGATTGTAAAAATTTTCTCCCATTCTGCAGGTTGCCTGTTTACTCTGATGCTAGTTTCTTTTGCTGTGTGGGAGCTCTTTAATTAGATCCCATTTGTCAATTGTATCTTTTGTTGTAATGGCTTTTGGTGTTTTAGTCATGAAGTCTTTGCCCATACCTATGTCCTGAATGACATTGTCTAGGTTTTCTTCTAGGGATTTTATGGTTTTGGGTCTTACGTTTAAGTCTTTAATCCATCTTGAGTTAATTTTTGTATAAAGTGTAAGGAAGGGGTCTAGTTTCAGTTTTCTGCACATGGCTAGCCAGTTTTCCCAACACCATTTATTAAATAAGGAACTCTTTCCCCATTGCTTGTTTTTGTCAGGTTTGTCGAAAATTAGATGGCTGTAGATGTGTGGTGTTATTTCTGAGGTCTCTGTTCTGTTCCATTGGTCTTTATGTCTGTTTTGGCACCCAGTACCATGCTGCTGTGGTTACTATAGCCTTGTAGTATAGTTTGAAGTCAGGTTGCATGATGCCTCCAGCTTTGTTCTTTTTGCTTAGGATTTTCTTGGCTATATGGGCTCTTTTTGGGTTCCATATGAAATTTAAAGTAGTTTTTTTCTAATTCTGTGAGGAAAGTTGATGGTAATAATATCGAATCTATAAATTAACTTGGGGAGTATGGCCATTTCATGACATTGATTCTTCCTATCCATAAGTATGGAATGTTTTTCCATTTTTTTGTGTTGTCACTTATTTCTTTGAGCTGTGGTTTGTAGTTCTCCTTGAAGAGGTCCTTCACATCCCTTGTAATCTGTATTCCTAGGTATTTTATTCTCCTTGTAGTAATAGTAATTGTGAATGGGAGTTCATTCATGATTTTGCTCTCTGCTTTTCCATTGTTGGTGTATGGGAATTCTTGTGATTTTTGCACATTGATTTTGTATCCTGAGACTTTGCTGAAGTTGCTCATCAACTTAAGGAGTTTGGGGACTGAAACAATGGGGTTTCTATATATAGGATCATGTCATCTGCAAACAGAGACAATTTGACTTCCTCTCTTCCTATTTGAATACCTTTTTTTCTTCTTCTTGCCTAAGTGTGTAGGCCAGAACTTCTAATACTATGTTGAACAGGAGGAGTGAGAGAGGGCATCCTTGTCTTGTGCTGGTTTTCAAAGGAAATGCTTCCAGCTTTTGCCCATTCAGTATGATATTGGCTATGGGTTTGTCATAAAGAGCTCTTATTATTTTGAGATATGTTCCATCAATACCTAGTTTATTGAGAGTTTTTAAAATTTATTTTTATTAATTTATTTATTATTTAATTAATTTCTATTATACTTTAAGGTCTGGGATACATGTGCAGAACGTGCGGGTTTGTTACATAGGTATACATGTGCCATGGTGGTTTCCTGCACCCATCAACCCGTCATCTACATTAGGTATTTCTCCTAATGTTATCCCTTCCCTTGCCATCCACACCCTTACAGGCCCCAGTGCGTGATATTCCCCTCCCTATGCCCATAAGCTCTCATTGTTCAGCTCCCACCTATGAGTGAGAACATGTGGTGTTTGGTTTTCTGTTCCTGTGTTAGTTTGCTGAGAATGATGGTTTCCTAAAAAGGACATAAACTCATTCTTTTGTATGGCTGCAGAGTATTCTATGGTGTATATGTGCCACATTTTCTTTATCCAGTCTATCATTGATGGACATTTGGGATGGTTCCAAGACTTTGCTATTGTGAATAGTGCTGCAATAAACATATGTGTGCATGTGTCTTTATAGTAGAATGATTTCAGCAGCACATTAAAAAGCTTATCCACCACAATCAAATCAGCTTCATCCCTGGGATACAAGGCTGGTTCAACATATCCAAATCAATAAACGTAATTCATGACATAAACAGAATCAATGACAAAACCACATGATTATCTCAATAGATGCAGAAAAGGCCTTTGATAAAATTCAACACCCCTTCATGCTAAACACACTCAATAAACTAGGTATTGATGGAACTATCTCAAAATAATAAGAGCTATTTATGAAAATCCCACAGCCAATATCATACTGAATGGGCAAAAGCTGGAAGAATTCCCTTTGAAAACTAGCACAATACAAGTATGCCCTCTCTCACCACTCATATTCAACATAGTATTAGAAGTTCTGGCCAGGGCAATCAGGCAAATGAAATAAATAGAAAGTATTCAAACAGAAAGAGAGGAAGTCAAATTATCTCTGTTTGCAGATGAGATGATTGTATATTTAGAAAACCCCGTCGTCTCAGCCTATAAACTCCTTAAGCTGATGCACAACTTCAGCAAAGTTTCAGGATACAAAATTACTGTGCAAAAATCACAAGCATTCCTATAAACCAATAACCGACAGAGAGCCAAATCATGAGTGAACTCCCATTTACAACTGCTACAAAGAGAATAAAATACCTAGGAATACCACTTACAAGGGATGTGAAGGACCTCTTCAAGGAGAGTTTTTAACATGAAGGGATGTTGAATTTTGTTGAAGGCCTTTTTTGCATCTATTGAGATAATCACGTGGTTTTTGTCATTGGTTCTGTTTTTGTGATGGATTACATTTATTGATTTGCTTATGTTGAACCAGACTTGCATCCCAGGTATGAAGCCAACTTGATCATGGTGGATAAGCTTTTTGATGTGCTTCTGGATTTGGTTTGCCAGTATTTTATTGAGGATTTTTGCATTAATGTTCATCAAGGATATTGGTCTGAAGTGCTCTTTTTTTGTTGTGTATCTGCCAGGTTTTGGTATCAGGATGATGTTGGCCTCCTAGAATGAGTTAAGGAGGAGTCCCTCCTTTTCAATTATTTGGAATAATTTCAGAAGGAATGGTACGAGCTCCTCTTTGTAACTCTGGTGGATTTGGGCTGTGAATCCATCTGGTCCTGGGATTTTTTTGGTTGTTAGGCTATTAACTACTGACTCAATTTCAGAACTTGTTATTGATCTCTTCAGGGATTTGACTTCTTCCTGATTTAGTCTCGTAGGGTGTATTTGTCCAGGAATTTATCAATTTTTTCTAGACTTTCTAATTTATTTGCATAGAGGTGTTTATAGTATTCTCTAATGGTAGTTTGCATTTATGTGCAAACAGTGGTGATATACTTTTTTTCATTTTTTATTGTGTCTATTTGAATCTTCTGCCTTTTCTTCTTTATTAGTCTAGCTAGCAGTCTGTATATTTTGTTAATTTTTTTCAAAACACCAGCTTCTGGATTCATTGAGTTTTTGAAGGGTTTTTTGTGTCTCTAGCTTCTTCAGTTCTGCTCTGATCTTGGTTATTTCTCGTCTTCTGCTAGCTTTTGAATTTGTTTGCTCTTTCTTCTCTAATTCTTTTAATTGTGATGTTAGGGGGTTGATTTGAGATCTTTCCAGCTTTCTGATGTGGGCATTTAGTGCTATAAATTTCCCTTTTAACACTGCTTTAGCTGTGTCCCAAAGATTCTGGAACATTGTCTCTTTGTTATCATTGGTTTCAAAGAACTTCTTGATTTCTGCCTCAATTTTGTTATTTACCCAGGAGTCGTTCACGAGCGCTGAAATTGAATCAGTAATATAAAACCTACCAACCAAAAAGAGCCCTAGGCAAGATGGATTCACAGTTAAGTTATATCAGATGTATAAAAAATTGCTACCAATCCTACTGAAAACATCCTGAAAAAAATTAGGAGAAACGATTACTCCCTAATTCATTATATGAAGCCAGCATCAACCTAAAATATGACAGAGACATGATGAGGAAAGAAAAATTCAGGCCAATATTCCTGATAAACACGTGCACAAAAATTCTCTGCAAAATACTGGCAAACCGAACCCAGCAGGATATCAGTAAGTTAATTCACAATTATCAAATACACTTTATCCTTGGGATGTATGACTTATTCAGTCTATGCAAATCAACAAACGTAATTCACAACATAAACAGAATTAAAAGCAAAAACTATATGATCACCTCAATAGATGCAGAAAAAGCTGTCAATAAAATTCAACATCACTTTGTGATAAAAACTTTCAACAGACTAGACATAGAAGAAACATACCTCAAAATAATAAGAGCCTTCTACAAAAAATCCATAGCCAAGATCATACTGAATGATTAAAAGCTGGAACCATTACCCTTGAGAAATGGAATAAGATGAGGATGCACACTTGCATTACTCCTATTCAACATAGTACTGGAATTCATAGCCAGAGTAATCAGACAAGAGAAAGAAATAAGGCATACATAAATGGGAAAAGAAAAAATCACACTATCTCTTTGCTGCTGCTGATTCTATAGTTATAAAACACTAAAGACTCCACCAAAAGTCTAATAGAACTGTCAAATAAATGTATCAAGTTTTCAGAATACAAAATCAATGTACAAAAAGTAGTAGCATTTCTATATACCAATTATATCAAGCTGAGAATCAAATCAAGAACACAATCTCATTTACAATAGCCACACACACAAAAATGAAATACGACTGCAGCTAACCAAGGAGGGGAAAGATCTCTATGAGGGGAACTACAAAACACTGAAAGAAATCAATGATGATAAAAACAAATAGAAGATTATCCCATGCTCATAGATTGAAAGAATTAATATTATTACAATGGTCATTACAGATTCAATGATATTTCTATCAAACAACCAACATCATTCTTCACAAATTAGAATAAAAAACTATTCTAAAATTCATATGGAACCAAATAAGAGCAATAGCCAAAGAAATCCTACGCAAAAAGAACAAACCCAGAGGCATCACACTAATGAACTTCAAACTATAGTATGAGGCTACAGTAACCAAAATAGCATGGTACTGGTGCAAAAACAGACACATAGACCTATGGAACAGAAAAGACAAGGCAAAAATAAAGCTGTACACTTACAAGCATCTGATCTTCCATAGGGCTGACAAAAACAAACAATTGGGAAAGGACTCTTGATTCAATAAATGGTACCGGTTTAACTAGCTAGCCATATGCAAAAGAATGAAACTGTACACTTACCTTTCACCATATATGGAAATTAACTCAAGATGGATTAAGATTCAAATGTAAGAACTCAAACTATAAAAATCCTTGAAGAAAACCTAGGCTATACCCAAAATGTACAAGTGAAACCTAATTAAACCAAAGAGTTTTTTTCACAGCAAAAGTAACTATCAACAGAGCAAACAGATAAGAAAAATGAGAGAAAATATTCACAAACTTTGCATCTGACATAGGTCTAATATCCATAATCTATAAAGAATTTTAAAAATTCAACAACCTCAAATAAATAATTTTTTTAAGTGTGCAAAAGACATGAACAGACACTTCTCAAAAACAGATACTTCTACTAAAATTTTGAAAAAAATACATAATATCATCACATGCATATGATATCTAAGTAATTTTGTCTAACTTGGAACTAAATAAGTTCATTTTATTCAGCATAGAATTATTCCTGCACCCTCAGCATCAACCTTTAATTTTGGAAACAGGGTAAGAAACACACTTTTAAAGTTTTATATACCTTTTGTCCCTAGTGAGTTTCAGGAACACACCAACTGTGAAGAAGTTCTAAGCCCTTAAAGAACATCTCTTTCATGGGGAAAAAGTAATCACTCAAGAAACAACCCCAGCAAAGTGAAAAATGTATCTAATAAAATCAAATAGGGAGGCAAGTAAAAAAGAGTTATAAGTGAATGTGACCTGAAAACATTAAAAGTGGAAATGTGTGTGACTAGATAGGATTTGATTGTCAGTTCAGACTCATATGAATCAGACCAAACTTTACTAATTAATTGTAAGAATAAGAAAATCAAGGGATTCTGACAAGGCATAGAATGGTATAGGACATCAAAGACATTTTATACTACCTAGAGAATTGTGTATCTCAAGTGATATTTTTCAAGGAGCTCTACTTCACAGAACTATAGGTCCTGGGTTTTACTTACTAGATACCACATGTTAGCCAGGGATATTATACTAACAGCATTTCAGAGATGAGGTACCTTTCTCTGAGCAAATATTATTAATCTCTTTCTTTACCAGTGCAATTGACAAGAAGATTAGACTAGCTCCTATGGCTTCTTATCTTATTTCCCTAGATGCATTCCTCTAGAAGAGTTAGTAAATGGATTTCAGGTCAACTGTTTTAACTCCTTTCTCTTAGAAAAGAAAAGAAAATACATTAAGAACTGAGAATTAAAAGATTATTCTTTGACTGGATAAAAGATTTAAAGGCATATGATTCTAAATCTATGGATCCAGTTACACTAATTGGTTAGATTAAAAATAGTATCTATCAAATATAATATTGTAATATGTGATTCTTTTTTATAGTTATAACATCTAAACAAAATTGGAAGTGCCTAATTGAGTTATAAAACAGTATATAATTCTACAAATCTTTAAAATGTAAAACCAGTGTTTCAGAAACAGATAAGATGGAGTAAATACACACCTCCCTTAATTCAGAGGACAATTATTTGAAAACTCTAAAGAGAAAATATGAGCAGACAAATCAGGGAAGAAAACCAGAATTTGTACTGTAACAAACCAGTTGTGAGTGTACCACTTTTCTCTCTCTGGCATCCTCTGACCTGTACTCAATGTAATCCAAAACCCATAAGTGAGCAATCTGGGGTAGGATGAGAGACTAAAATCCAGAAGAATCTCTTTAGTCCTGGCTTATGGAGTAATTAAAAAAACCCCACAAGTTCTAGATTATTATAACTGCATTATTTTGCCATATTATTATATTTACACTAGAGGACAATACAGTAATTTTTTTATTAACAATGGAAACCAAACCAAACAAACAAACAAAAACAAAAACAAACTTAAAGACACCATCCCAGCAGAAGAAATGTGAATTTATACTAAATACAAAATAATACAAATACATCAGACAGATATCCAAAAGAGCGTGTCTTTTTCCTACTGAATATTGAATAAAAATAAAATATGCACACAATGTGGGGCTGTCACTGAATGTTCTGATCAAACCTCTAAAGAACTAAACATAGATAATGATGAGTTGTGTGTGTGTGTCTGTGTGTAGTTCTGAGCATGTACTTGTGTGGGGAAAAGAGAATAAAAATAAGTAAAATCAAATTTCGCCCCAAAATAATTATTTTTCTTTGTAACGTAAGTATATATATCACACTTTGTTAATCAACATCAGAACCCATTACAGGATAGTTTCCTGGGTGGTCTTAGATTGACCAGCCTGGCTCTCCCCACTTTCTAGTTTGAAATTCTCAAGAATAACTATAAAATGTACTGGGAATGCAACATCCTGAAATAAGAGTAGAGCTGGCTGTAATGGCCCGGGATGTGTTTTAGCTTCCTCCCAGAAAAGGATGTAACTCAGTGCTTTAGCTCAGTGATTCATATTACCCCAAGGTATATAACCCAGAGTGGGATACCTTTCAGGGTCCCTCAGCTGCAGTTCAAGTGGGAAACATGCAGCAAAGACTTCATCTGCCCCAGGCAGCTTTCTGACCCTTGAAGTACTGGCTCACAATAAATCCCAGACTGCTGTTGTCTCTTCCTGCCTATCTGTATGTAATGAGCATGATTTATATAATTTGTTGATTATGAGTGTGTTCTGTCTCACTAGGCTCAGACAAGTTGATAACCAGTGCACAGTCAACCAGCTCCACACCCATGTCTAGCTTAAAAAAAAAAGAGAGAAGAGGAAAGTATTTTGGAAAGAGAAGAAAAATAAAAAATAAAATAATAATAATAAAAAAACAGGACCAGAAGTATATTTTACTGTAGGGCACTAGAAATGAGCTGAAATTAAAAGAAATATATTATTTTACATGATAATGTACATTTTTCTCCCAACTTCTACTTAAGATAGAAAAATCTGAAAGGAACATACCTCCAATCACTATGACAAGAAGAAAAGCGATATAATCTATGTAACCATAGTTTTTCTTCATCCCATCAGATACCTGAGGTCACACAGCAAAAAACTAGCATTAAACCTAAGACAAGAGAGACACTACCAGGGAGAGATGTGAATGTAAGCTCTTGTTACCTGAGGCAGATTCTGGGCGCTATACAAACTAGTAATAATAATTCAGGTAAAATATTTAATGAATGTTTCAAAGCTGAATGTGGGATAGGCTGAGAGTATACTGATACTGGAGCATAAAAAACAAGGGAAATTACACCCACCTACATCTTTTAGCAATACATCTCACAGGCGCTCACTAGAAAGATTGGTCACAAGGCAGGGGACTAGAGAAAGCTTCGCACACATGGCAGGCTTAGGAGAGCCAAGGAACAGCCACTGCAGGATGAATTGACTGGAGGGATCCGAGACCCACTCTCTTATTTTTCCTTCTGAACAAAAGCCTGAAGACACTGGGGTAGGATGGTAAACGTTACCATACTCAGGGTATAGGGTGAAGACCATTACCACTGGAGGAAATAAATAGAAAGAGAAACTTTGGGCTTTGGGACCCAGACCATAGCAGATCCCCTATCATTGCAGATGTGAGAAATATTGATTTTCTCTCATTCCTAACACCCAGGGATGGACCACATGCCTAAGACTAAGGCTGAAATGAGCAAATAGAATTCCAAGTAACAAAAAACTTTAGTCCACTATTAAGGAATAAGAAGAAGGAAGAAAGAGCATCTTTGAGGTGCAGGATTATAGGGGAAACCTAAAGCTGAGGTAGAAGAGAAATATTGAGAAAATGAGTCAAGCAACCCAGCAATCATCCAAAATACATGAAACATTAGAAGAGTTTGAAGCATGCGGAGGTTCACAATGACAACAAAAATGAAAATAAGCTCAACTCCTGACTAGATCATGTCAACTCCTCACACTAAAGGCCTATCAAAAGAAGGGGGTCTGTCACACAAGAAAGTAAACATAACTATGCTTAATATGTTAAAGGCTGTTACATGATATGCATTAACATATCGGGAATTTCAGCTCTGCAACTAAAACCTGTCGAGGTAGATACAATGCAACAGAAGGTTTCTACTAGTGCTTCCGGGTGGAACTTCCTGCGATGATGGAAATGTTCTATCACTCTTCTGTGTCCCATATGGTGGCCACTGGGCATATGTGGATGTTGAGCGCTTGTAATATAGCTGAGTAACTGAAATTCTAGGTTTATTTAATTTTACTTAATATACATTTAAATAGCCATATATAGCTAATGGCTACTACATTGGACAGCTCAAGATAACCACTTTCTTATGAAAAATCACTACTCCCTCAATTAAATAACTCCTACTTAAGGACCTAGAAATCAATTGTGTCTAATTAGATTGTTCACAGAGATTAAAAAGAAAACTGAAATTTGACTATCACAGCAGGATATAGGATGTATTTATTCTTTTAACTTTGTATTATGCAGTCATTCTTCTGTTTCACAAGAATTTTAGTAGGAGTTTTCAGAATGGGTTGTGTAACCTTTTGAATATTTACTGGTTCTTAAATGCAATAGAAATACAATACACAAAAAAACACAATTCACTAGAAAACACGAATATTTACCTTTTTTATCCTCATAGAATAAAAATAATAACAGATTATTGACAGAAGATTTACCTGGTTAACCCTCTGATGATTTCTGTACTAAAATATATTTTACTAAAATATTTAAAATAGCATTCTTTCTTAAAATATTTTAGAGATCATAATTGATTTGCAGTTTTAGTATTCTATTCCACTGTTTTTTAAACTAATGTGAGTTATAGCTAAATACTTTTATATTGAAAAAATTACTTGTGTTTTCCTTTGATTTTTTACAGAAAACTTACATAAGTAGTATTTAGATAAATGAAAAACCAGAAGTAAACTCTTCTTGTAGGAAATCATCTTTTTTTGGTATAAACTCATGTATCTCATCTAGACAATCAGTGCTTTTATTTTTGTATCATATGTATTTTATTTAGTAGAATAGCTCATCTAAACAATTATTTTATTTTTATATTATATATATTTTATTTAGTCAAAAAACAAAAGGTGAATAGTTTAATAAAAATCAGCAATAAACAAATTATTAGAAAAGATATTTTTCTTAGAGCAGGAAATACTAGTTTATCTTTTTAAACTATCAAATGTTGTTTCGATTTTTACCATGAATACTTTTTGCCTCATTTACCAGAGTGGATATATGCCTTGAATATATGCTCTTGTACATACCATTTACCACAGAGTAGTGTATGGCAGGAGTAGTGGTGGTAAATTATATGTGCAAGGACATATATCCAAGACTACAGCCTAAATAAGCACCATAACAAATATTGAACTTGTGAGGGGTAGGGGGTAATGGGAGGGACAGCATAAAGACAAATACCTAATTCATGTGGGGCTTAAAACCTAGATGATGGGTTGATAGGTGCAGCAAACCACCATGGCACATGTATTCCTGTGTAACAAACCTGCACATTCTGCACATGTATCCCGGAACTTAAAGTATAATCTAAACAATAAAATAAAATAAAATAAAATAAATAAATAAATAAACTGGACTTGTAGTTTAATTTCTGATACTGCCTCTTGTATGATATATAAAATTTAATAATAATTGAAGTTTCATTTTTAAGTATATATGGAGAACTTTGTAATTAGACATTAAACTCTTTTGTAACATATATGTCTTGTTCACGTTTTTTCTTAAGTACCTAGAATACTATCTAAACCTCCCAGTCTAATTATGCCTATAAAGCAGCAAACGCTTAGAAAGGTGTTCACAAAATTTTAATCTTGGAAAAAACCTCAGACATAATCTTGTTCATATGCCTGCATTTAACATTAATCACTCTTCTTTTTTCATTTGTGAGTATTTGAGCTTATAAATACATCTACTAAAAAAAAGAAAAAAAAAGAAAAATTAAAAAACAAAACAAGATTCAGTATTACCCTACTCTTACCTTAAAAAGCAATACAGGAAATAAATATAGGCTATCCAGACCTATAAGCTAGATGTGGCCTTGTTAGTCCCCATCTTTGACTTTCCACACCTTGTCCCATTTCACCCCATTCTCATCTATGAACAACTGTTTTCCTCTCATTAATCAATTAAATAAACATAGAAGAGTGATGTTCAAAATATTTAATAACAGTAAAATTATACATGTATGATCTTGTCAAAGCAGGGCATTAAATCATCAAATAGTGTCAGTCACAAATATATTGTACATACCGCCATATGGGTATAACTCATCTAGATAACAGTCCTGAAAATGTAAAAATTTATAAGAAAAATAGAAATAATTCTAGAAGTATGTGTCAAGTGTTGTGCAAAATCGTGATATTTGATTTTTGCAATATACGATAAGATACGACTCTCTTCTATCAATATTAGAACACTAAATCTTGGTGAAATTAAGTTACTTTCATGAAAGTAACTGCAGAAGGTAGAATTAGAATGTAAGTCTTCAGTTAAAGTTCAGTTTTGGTTTGTTACATCAAACACGGGAAATGTGTAAAAATTAAAAGAACCAAGCTAATCTCATAAGAGATAAAATCTATAGTTATATATAGTTAATATATATGAAGAAGTATTTTCTTCTTCTTTCCATTGTTGTTTTATTTCAAGGATATTTGGAAATGGATTATAGACTAAGAAAACCTGTAACAAGCACACATGTACATGTTTGTATGTTTGTTTCTCTTGGAGTAGAGAGACTTCCAGGAGAGAAGTGTTATAACATGTAAATGAATGATCAATAATCACACCTGAAAATGCAGATAAGGCCTTTGCAAATGCATTATTTTAGAGGACAGTTCCATAGATTTGGAAATATCTCACTGCCCCTGGGCTGTTCTCTGCCATCTCCTTCGATTAATCCTCTTAAGCCAAGCTTCACATTGACCCGCTTCCCCAGTGAGGTTTCAGGTTTCGGCCTCCACAGCTCCTCTCTATCCACGCCTTCACTGACCCATAGGCCTCATTATGGTTCCCACCAAAATGCTTACGATCATTTGTCTCATTATTTCCAATCTTTTCTGACCATATATTTTATAAACATGTCTCTGTCATAAATGTGTTTAATATAGTGGCTGCCTCAGCATCTATTTTTAGGCCAACATAGTTATTTGAAACCCAGTTGTACCTGTCATACTTGGTCTAGTTGAAACTTCTCCTTTGCAATATAGTCTGCTTGTTCCTCACTCCCGTGAGGCCAAAACAACACACCCACAGCTGCTAACCACAATAAAACCTAATGGTCAACATTAGAGTCATGTAAATAATTTTCTCTTTTTGGGTGTGATTTCCTTAACCTAGCCAATTTATAACCCTAGGGAAAGCCTAAAGATAATGCTCAGGGACCTTATTAAAGTCCCACAGGTCCGGTCTCTCTCCCTCTTCCTCTCCCTCTCCCTCTCCCTCTCCCCCTGGTCAAGCACCCAGCTATCTCTGGACTTCCCATGGGTCATCAGGGGCAGTCCTCTTCTCTCATGGATCTATGAGTCATAAAGTGCTTCTATTCCTTCATGTGTTTTGTCATGCTGCCTCCTCTGTGTCTTGCCAGACAGACACACTCAAATCTAACTCTCCTCCCTGTCAGGCCTCTCCTAGAGTGTCTATCTTGGTATTCAAACTGGACACAGGTCAGACAAAAAACCACAAGGGCATCTGATGATATCAACCAGGTGAGAGGGACACCTGGTCACAGGTTGAGCACCTGGGCATTAGGCTGTCTGCCAGGATAACAAAGTTTCCTGTGAAAGACATGCTGTAAACATCCATGACCACCTTCCCTCGAGCCCTGTCAGGGCAGAGCTGAAATTTATAGTCACTCTCCAGAGAGAGACAGGAAGACCAAAATTGAGAAAAATACAACAGTCTCATTAAAGTTGATCCCATTGTCCATTTTCTCTGTAATGTTAGCTTTTCAGGCATATATATAAAATATATTTATTTACACATAATTGTACCTTAAGCTTTATAATTCAATATATTATCAAATAAGAATACTATTCCCCATTAAGACATACATAAATCTAAGGGTTTATAAATATTAGCAACATTTTGATAGACTGGATAAAGAAAATGTGGCACATATACATCATGGAATACTATGCAGCCATAAAAAAGTATGAGTTCATGTCCTTTGCAGGGACATAGATGAAGCTGGAAGCCATCATTCTCAGCAAACTAATACAGGAACAGAAAACCAAACACCACATGTTCTCACTCATAAGTGGGAGTTGAATAATGAGAACACATAGACACAGGGAGGGGAAGATCACACACCAGGGCCTGTCGGGGGTGGGGGGCTAGAGGAGGGATAGCATTAGGAGAAATACCTAATTTAGATGATGGGTTGATGAGTGCAGCAAACCACCATGGCACGCGTATACCTATGTAACAAACCTGCACGTTCTGCACATGTATCCCAGAACTTAAAGCATAATAAAAAAGGGTTAAACTTATTAAAAGTACAATTTTGTGATTTCTAAGTTATTGATTTGAGTCATCTATAGAAAGCATGTTTATTATGTAAAAACAACTGCAAAAATCCCTGAAAAATTAGTTGGTTCAAAGATCTCTAAATATTCCTTAGTAGCTACGTGAGTGGACAAAATATGAGCACACATAGCTGCCAATTAAAATATCCTTTAGAAAACTATACATGTTTAAATACAGGATATTTCATGAGAGTTTGCAATTAACTGCAATTCCTTTAGTGAAACACATTTTTATAATATAGTAATTATGTTAGAAAAATTACATCAGAATACACACGTGTATTTTTGTCAGGGTATTCAATTTTTGTAGCCCAGAGGGCAATGGTTTTCAGAACTTTCACAAGACCATTGAATTTAGGTTAGTGGTGAAGCCTACAAAATGATAGGCTAGAGTCCCCAAATTCAAGCCTCATAAAGCATGTTTATATATGTTTACAAATTATACTAGAGGCTTGTATTGCCTCAGAGTTCTGGGTAAAATAATTGTACAGAAGTATAAAGAATTCAAACATAAGCCCTTTTGTTTAGCCTAAGAAACAGCCCAGGCTCCAAGTATTGCCTCCTCGCCATCACTTTCTAACTACAGCAGATAGTCCTCTTAAAAAACTAAATGTTTGTTGGGTTCATACACATGAGTCTGAAACATTATTCTCATAAGCCTGATGTTTAATACCAGTTCTAGGGTGTTTATCGTAATAATTCTCATCTTCACACAACCCCATATATCCACATCTTTCTTACACAAGTTCACTCAGGAGCATGTATACATGCCCACATAAACACACACACACACACACACACACACTAACACACAATTTGAAAATGATGGAGGTTGGGCTTTCAGACACTGGTCATGTGACCTCTGAAAGTGCACTGCTTTTGTTTGTTTAGATGTTTGTTTTTGTTTTATGACACTAAATCCTTTAGAAGAAAAATACAATAGATTCATGAACATGAATGTCTTCAGCAGATATTGTATATGCAAAAAACTGAAACACAATAATCTCTTGAAGAAAACATTCTTTCTCCTGAAACTAATGCATAGACTGTTTTCCTTAAAAGGGACGTTTGCCATGAGTAAATTATACAAAGTTCTTGTAAAATAATGCATTAATAATTTGAGAATCAATTAAAAATTTTTGTGTTTTGGCGGATATATATTTCACTTATACAGATTATCTTTATTAAATGTTAAAACAGTAATTATTGCTTGATAAAATAGACATTCAGTTATTATATTTTATGGAAGATCCATATCAGAAGAATATCAGAAATAATTTCAAAATTTGCCTCCCCATTAATCTTACATGACTGTTGTTAATGAGATATCTTCCAAAAATAGTCTGGAAAGCTGAATGAGTGGCGAAAACTTTAAAATTACTTGATAAATACCATTACATAACAAATCTTTAAATAAAAGTACCAAATAGACTTTTAGGATGAGTAGTACAATTTCTCTTGTGCCAAAAAGACCTGTCTTTGAAATAAGTAAGGTAAGCTAACTACTGATAATTTGGCACCAGCAATAGATCTGGCTGAAGTTACTTGGAGTTATTTGCTGGTCTCTAAGATTACATTTTTATGACCATAAACACACTCACCTTCTAAAACTGAAGCAGGTCATTTCAGCACAATTATATTCAACAGAGCAGTATCTAAACAAATCAGTGTTTGGTAACCTGAGCCAACACAAGATATTTTAGGGCAGAAGAGTTAGCTAGAAAATAACATTTTCTAACAGAATCAGTCAGAGAGAAAACAACCCATCAGGTGGGAGACATCCCAGTGCAATTATTGCAAAATATCCACCTGGCTGACTGAATAATCATTTTAGAGACAATCAAAACTGTTGAAATTGCACCTCATTGGTTAATGATTCCATTATAGCTGGAAGGCTTACACCAATGAAAAGGGATACAGAGTTTATATTTCAAAATATTAAAGCAGACAAATTCCTTCATTGACTATTATGACATCAAAATAATATATTTGGATACAAATTATGACTTGCACTGGGTGAATATTGTGGCTGACAACTAACCACCTTATTATTTTTATTATTATTTTCCCCGTAGCTCACAATGACTTCCCCTTGTTCCCAGGGTTGGCAAATCACTGCCTTTGTTTCTGGCTAACCTAGAACCCTTAGTTCTATTCATGTCAGGTTTGTGTTCTCTATTATACTTAGGAGAAGGTGATTTCCTAATACATAATATAATAATTTTTCTGAAACAAATATAAATATACTCTAAAAACACCTACATAAATGGTCATTAATGTTAAAAAAATGCAGAGAAATAATTCAATGTCATAATTTTTTAAAGTTTATCAATATCCCTCTACAAGTAAGCTTCTAGATAAAGCCACTGTAAATTACATTCACATTTCCTAATAAACCTTTGCTCCCATAAATGTATTTCTCCTACAGCAGAGCTTGAATGTATTATTCAATATTGTATAACAAAATGACAAAAAAAATCAATCCTGGAACATCTGATACTTATTCCTTTATAAAATGAGAGCAAATATTGTGTCTATTATGATTTATTAAAGTTTGCTAGAAAAATAATCCATAAATAGTATATAAAGTTTGGCTTGGAGAAAAGTAACATCTTAGTAGACTTTTAGATCCTGTATGATAAAGGAATTTGATTCATTTTCACATATTTTAATGTCCTCTTTAGTCACTTAATTATTGTTTGTGACGTGCTTTCTTGATATATAAAAATAGGAAAAATAAATATATTTTAAGTTTATTACATCATACTTTATTTAGAAGCCACATGACTCAGAAATTTGCCAAGTATTTTATTTAGAGTGTGTTTTTGTGTGAGTTGACAATACAAATTGTAGCTTTAAAAAAAAATTAGGTTCAGGGATATGTGTGCCGATTTGTTATATAGGTAAATGGCTTCTCATTGGGGTTTGGTATGCAGATTATTTTGTTACCCAGATAATAAGCATAGTGATGAATTGGTAATTTTTTTTTATCCTCATCCACCTGTTACCATCCTCCTTCCTCAAGGAGACCCCATTATCTGTTGTTCCCCTCTTTATGCTCGTGTGTTATCATTATTTAGCTCCTACTTTTAAGTGAGAATATGCTGTACTTGGTTTTCTGTCACTGCGTTAATTTGCTTAGAATAATGGCCTCCAGCTGCATCCACCTTGGTGCAAAAGACATGATCTCTATGGCTGTGTAGTATTCCATGCTGTTTACATACCACATTTTCTTTATCTAGTCTACATTTAGGTTGATTCCATGCCTTTGCTACTGTGAAGAGTACCTCAATGAACACATGCACACATGTGTCTTTATGTTAGAATAATTTATATTCCATTGAGTATATATCCAATAATGAAATTTCTAGGTCAAATGGTAATTCTATTTTAAGTTGTTTAAAGAATTGCCACAGTGATTTACATTTAAAATTTTAAAATGTAAATTTTAAACTAATTTGAACTTCCACCAACAGTGTATAAGCATTCCCTTTGCTCCACAATCTTACCAGCATCTGTCATGATTGGAATTTCTAGTAACAGCCATTGTGACTGGCGTGAGATGGTATCCCATTGTAGTTTTGATTTGCGTTTCTCTAATAGTTAGTGACTTTGAGCTTTTTTTCATATGCTTGTTTGTTGCGTATATGTTTTCTTTTGAAAAGCACCTATTCATGTCCTTTGCTCAGTTTTTAATAGGGTTGTTTGTTTTTTGCTTACATATCTATTTAAGTTCCTTAGGGATTCTGAATATTAAACCTTTGTTGGATACATAATGTGCAAATATTTTTCTGATTCAGTAGATTACTTGTATACTCTATTGATTGAATGATTCTTTTGCTATGCAGAAGCTCTTTAGATAATTAGGTCTCATTTGCTAATTTTTTGTTTTGTTGCAATTGCATTCGGAGTCTTTGTCATAAAGCCTTTGTCAGGACCTATGTCCAGAATGGTATTTCCTAGGTTTTCTAGATATTCTTCTAGGATTTTTATAGTTTCAGGTTTTACATTTAAATCTTTAGTACCTCTTCAGTTGATTTTTATATACAGTAAATGTAAGCAATCAAGTTTCAATCTTCTGCACATAAAAAATCCTCAGCAAATTAACAAAAAACCTGAAATCATACCAACTACAGTCTCAGATCACAGAGAAATAGATAAACATATCAATACCAAAAAAATCACTCAAAGTTATACAATTGGATGGAATTAAACAACCTGCTCCTGAATGACTTTTGGTTAAATAATAAAATAAAGTCAGAAATCAAGAAATTTTTTGAAACTTATTCTAGCACCATTTATTGATTAGGGAGTCCTTTCCCCTTCACTTGCTTCTGTCAACTTTGTTGAAGATCAGATGGTTACAGCTGTGTGGCCTTATTTCTGGGCTCTCTATTCTCTTCCTGTGGTATATGTGTCTGTTTTTGTCTCAGTAGCATGCTGTCTTGGTTACTGTATCCTTGTAGTGTAGTTAGAAGTTGGGTAACTTGATGTCTCCAGCTTTATTCTTTTTGCTTAGGATTACCTGAGCTATTTGGGTTCCTTTGTGGTTCTATATTAATTTTTAAAATAGCTTTTGCTAACTCGATGAAGAAGTTTCTAGAACTAAATGTCCACATCAAAGAGTTAGGAAGAGATTAAATTACAACCTAACATCATAACTAGAGGAACTAGAGAAACAAGAGCAAACGAACCTCAAACCTAACAGAAAAAAAGAAGTAATCAAAATCAGAGCTGAACTGAAGGAAAATAAGACGTGAAAAAACATACAAAAGATATATGAATCCAGAAGTTTCTTTTCTGAAAAAACTAATAAGGCAGATCACTAATTGGAATAATAAAAGAAGAGAGAAGATCCAAATAAATACAATTTGAAATGACAAAGGGGACATTACAATTGACCCCACAGGGAAGTAAAACAAACAAACAAAAACAAAACAAAAAAAACCGTTAGAGAGACTACAATAAATACCTCTATGAACACAAACTAGAAAACCAGAAGAAATGGATAAATTCCTGGACACATACACGCTCCCAAGGCTGAACCGGGAAGCAGTTGGAAATCTGAACAGCCCAATAATAAGTTCCAAAACCGAATCTGTAATAATAATAAAAAAAAGCCTACCAACAAAAAAAGCCCAGGAACAGATAGATTCAGCCAAATTCTATTAGAAGTATAAAAGAAGAACTGGTGCCATTCCTACTGAAATTATTCCAAAAGATTGAAAAGAATGGACCCCTCCCTAACTCATTCTATAAGGCCAGCATCATGGTGATACCAAAAAGAGGCAGAGACACAGCAACAACAAAAGAAAACGTCAGGCCAATATTCTTGATCAACATAAGTGTTTATGATCAATAAAATACTGAAAAACCAAATCTAGCAGCACATTAAAACGCTAATTCACCATGATCAAGTAGGTGTTATCCCTGGTATGCCTCATTGGTTCAACATACGCAAATCAATAATGTGATTCATCATATAAACAGGACTAAAAACAAAAACCACATGATTATCTCAATAGACATAGAAAAGGCTTTTGAAAAAATTCAACCTCCCTTCATGTTCAATACCCTCAACAAACTAGGCACTGATAGAACTTACTTCTAAATAGTAAGAGCCATTAATGACAAACCCACAGCCAACATCATACTGAACAGGCGAAAGCTGGAAGCATTCCCCTTGAAAACCGGCACAAGAAGAAGTTGCCTTCTCTAACCATTCCTATGCAACATACAATTGGAAGCACTGGGCAGAGCAATCAAGCAAGAGAAAGAAATAAAATAAAAAGCATCCAAATAGAAAGAGAGGAAGTCAAACTATCTCTGTTGGTAGATGATATGCTTCTATACCTGCAAATCCCCATAGTCTCTGCCCCAAAGCTCCCTGATCTGATAAACCATTTCAGCAAAGTTTCAGGATACAAAATCAATGTACAAAAATTAGTAGCATTCTTGTACACCAACAACATCCAAGCTGATAGCCAAATCAAGAATTCAATTCCATTCACAATAGCCACAAAAGAATAAGCTACCTAGCAATACATCTAACCGGGAAGATGAAAGATCTCCACAATGAGAACTACAAAACATTGTTTAAAGAAATCACAGATGACATAAACAAATGGAAAAACGTTCCATGTTCATGGATAGGAAGAATCAATATTGTCAAGCAGTAGATTTTCAATGCCACCTGTCAAATGCTCCCCAGGTTGACTCTGCCTTCTCTCTCTCTACTATGACTTGTGCAATATATCAGCAAAAGAAAAATAAGTGAGAGGAGTTTTTGGATGCAGAAAAGTTTCTCAGATCTAGGTGACAGTGAAATAGTGAATATCAACACTTTCAGTTTTCCAAAGGCCAATAATGAAGAAACAAAAAAAATTTTAAAAATAACTGAGAGCAATACACACTGAGAAGCAAAATTTAGGGACTTTGAGAAGAGGAATCATGTCATTGCAGCCTGCAGGATTGCATTCTGAGAATGAGACACTTGCACTAAAGCAAAATTAAGATGGAGGTTGAAGGATGGGTTTTGTTGATTAATATTATTTCTTTATAATAACACTAATAAGAAGTAGAATTCAATATTCTAAATAGCAACTATCAGTTGATTTTAAGGATTACAATATAAATTTATGTCAATTGATTGTATTTATAAAGTATTTTATAGCTATTTAAAAATATTATGTTTTGCATTTGAAATAATATTTTGGAATTATAATTTAAATAATGAAATACATAAAGTTGTCATTGTTAGTATTTAAAATAGATTACCTAATTTTATGATAGTTTGAGTTTTAAAATGTCAATACTACTTAGAATGCTTTCATACACCTAAATGTGAAAAAAAATAGAAAAAGTTTAGAGATAATTATCAACCTATTTTTTATTTCTGCAGCCCACAAGACAAATGTGACACCAAAATTTCATAACTTAAAAAGCACATTAGACCTTTCCTGACAATATGATGCACCTCCAAAATCATAGGCAGCAATACTTTCAAAAATCAGCTCCACAGCTACCTCACAAAGACTTACCTCATTTTGATGATTTCTTACAGTTCTAAACACTGTCATTGTAAGACTGTTCTGTACACAACCTTAAGTTCCAAAATGAGGAAGGACATTTTCTAGGCTTCATACTGTGTTTGGAGAGAATGAGGTTAATATTTTCCCTCAGCAGTGAGGATCTGCAGTCCAGCATCTTTAATATAGAGACTGCCAGGGGAACAGGAAGCAATGATGGGAATTACTTTTTCCCTTTTCCCTCTGTGAAAACTATGAGGAATATGTCTAAAAGGGTAAAATGATTTAACTTAGAGATTGGGTAGAAGATTACATTTCTTACTCTTTTTCTTCTCATTGCTGATTAAAACCCTCTTCTACCTCCAAAGCAACAACTTGTCTTTGAGATTCAATTCTCTATTTTCTCTGGGGAAATACAAACACTAACTTGATCTTTATTTAGCAGTAATCTCCAAAGTGTAGCACGTGTATACAATTACAATGACTTTGTAGCAGTTCTCTAAGTTCCTTCACTTAGAGAACAACCTAAGTGCTGATATTAGACTACTTAGGTTATCATCCTATCCATTTATTTGTTCATTCAGGAGTTCAGTCAGGCTTTAGAGCTTTCACCCGGCAACGGTCAACTACCAACTAGACATATAGGTTTCTGGGAGACAAAACGTAGATAACATGTGATTCACATCTTCCAAAAGTTTAGTTTCAGGAGAAGGCAAATATGTGAACAAATAATCATGATATAACTCATAGTGGGATATTTGAAGTGTGAAAAAATAGATCCTAGAATACAGATTTCTAAATCTATGAATTCTATGCTTCATAGCACACGCGTGTGCACGTGCACACACACACACACACACACAGGACAAGATCAAGAAAACAAATAGTTGGCCAGGCATGGTGGCTCACGCCTGTAATCCCAGAACTTTGGGAGGCCTATACAGGTGGATTAGCTGAGGTCAGGAGTTTGAGACCAGCCTGGCCAACGTGGCAAAACCTTGTCTTTACTAAAAATACAAAAAAGTTAGCCTGGCATGGTGGCAGGTGCCTGTAATCACAGCTGCTCGGGAGGCTGAGGCAGGAGAATCTCTTGAACTCGGGAGGCGGTGGTTGCAGTGAGCTGAGATCGTGCCATTGCACTCCAGCCTGGGCAACAAGAGCAAAACTCTGTCTAAAAAAAAAGAGAGAGAAACAAAACAAATAGTTTATACTTGGGCTTTTTTGACTAAAATCTTAAGAATCTGCTCCTGGTGACTGACACTGGAACATACAAAGAACATCCCTCTGTAAAAACAGTTGTCAGATTAGCGCCAAGAAACAAAGCAGGCCAGAATGGCCTCTTTCACTGTTTTAAAAGCATGCAATTGGATTTTAGCACCTTTTGTTTCAACACAGTGATGGTTATAAAGAAACCTGCAGAGGAAAAACAAAACATATAAAAGAAAATGCAAACAGAGCAAGAGATTCAGGAAGATTTGCTTCTTACCTTTAACAGTGCTGGTCTTCAATTGCTGCCCTGAAACTTGAGGGCAGAAACGTAGAGCACCAGTCTCACGCTTTCGTGATTCTTAGGACTCATGGAAGGAAGGGTCTAGGAATACAGACAGACAGGACAGCAAGGGAGAGAGAGAATGTGTCTGTGTGTGTGTGCGTGTGCGTGTGTGTGTGTGTGTGAGAGAGAGAAAGAGAGAGAGAGAGAGGTGCTCACCGACCATTCTCTCTTGAAGGTAGCCTGAAACCTTCCCATTTCTAGACAAATAAAGTATTTCAGAGGACCATCTGAAAGGTGAACCATGGTTCCTGCTAATTCAGAGAATGACCTCCTACCTATTTAGGAACAGAATTAGGTAGAATTGGGAAAGGGAAAAAGCTGAGTCCCCTAAAAGCTTACAAGTTGTAATAGAGATATCTGCAAAGTGCTGAGGTGGTTTGCAATGGAAAAGAATTATTAATTAACTTTGGGTAGGGAATTTAAAAAAAAAGTTAAACAGACAGTGATATTTGGAGATAAGCATCCTTAATATGTCCACAGATATCCTGGAGCAACTCTGATTATCTCAGCAATCAGATTATGATAGCTGGAACCATTTCTGTGAATCTCTCTAGTCCCGTACCTGTTCTGTAATGTATGAGAACATTTGCATCACCTTAAGATACACTCATGTTGAAAACATGTTTGCTAAATAATTATAAAGGCCACAGAAACTTGATCAGGAAAGTAGTGAATTGTGGCACAAAGCTGGAATATGCTGTCTTTTCCTTGGATCAATTTTTTATTTATTTGCATTTGTATTAAAGTTTCTCCATGGTAGCTTGAGAATATTTTTGTGTAAAATAGTACATAAAATGAAACCCTGAAAGCTACCAGAACTGCTTTGCCAATATTGTGCATGCTATGATGAGACCACTAGATATACCTACCTTCATTCTGCCTTCTGATTTGCCACCTAAACACTTTCATGTGTCAAGATGAAATGGTGCATAAACAGAAGCTAGAGCTTGACTCAGAAAAACTCAGTTCAAGCTTATCCGCTGCCCTTCTAGGTTTGGAAATTAAGTCATGTAATTTCTCTGGCTGGCTTTTACTTCACAAAGTTGTGATCATCTATTCAAAAAAACAATATATTTGATATCCTCATATGCTACTAATAGTATTAATAGGAAATAATTCAGAATATTAACACTTTCTAACTTTCCAAACTATAAAAATGTGTAATGTTAATCAGATACATGAAAATGGTATTAAACAAAGGTATTTGAAATAGATCAGATTATAAATATATACCAGCCCTAAGTCTGTCTTAATATATTTATCCAGTCTATTTTAATTACTGGTGTTTCATTTCCTTAATAAGTGTAATCCTCATTGGGTGGAGTGTTCACTGCTCGGGTGATGGGTACACCAAAATCTCAGAAATCATCACCGAAGAACTTATTCATGTAAACAAATACCACCCATTCCCCAAAATCCTATTGAAATTTTAAAAAGTGTAATTCTGTATTTTAGCTCTAAATAATGAAAAAGAATAAGAAAAATGGGGAAGACTATCTGCAATGATTGCAACTTTTTACAAATGTTAATGAAACACGCTTTTATATATTGTGGCATTGATTTTGATTGGCTTACAATTTTGATTGTGTTTTCACACATAATTTACATTTAATGGTTATTTTTCAAGAGGAGACAGATATTTATATAACTAGGAGCCTTTCATAGAACTGGGCAAAGGTTAATAAACATGAAAAAATCACATGTAGTTATGATGATTCTGTGGTAATCAATATATAATAATTTTCAGCAAAAAAAAGATTTGTATATTTTTATGTAGCTGAAGCACATTCTATAAATAAAGTTATAAGGATAAATATTTTAAAATGTGAACTTGCTAGACATGCATAATTTTAAAAGAAAATAGGCTTCATTTTATACAAAGCTTAGAAGTGTTTAAAAAGCAAATAAATAAAAAATAAATATTTAACAGTTCAAGTTTTTAAAATAATTTTTAAGCCACATTTTTCTTCTTAATATGAAATCCTCAATCCAATTTAAATTTATTCAACAAATATTTATAGGTACTTGCCGTGATCCCAGCACATGCAGCAGTGAGTAAATATACCAAAAATCCCACCCTATGGTGCTTATATTTTAGTGAGAGGAGGCAGACAATAAACAAGCAAACAGACATTAGAAAGTTGTAGAGTATGTTATAAGATACTAAGTAGTTGGAAAAATAGGGGGAATAAAAGGAGAAGAAGATACATAGGATAGTGGATTTCAGCAGCAGGTAAACTGAAGTCACTGAAGTCAAACCGAAGTCACTAAAGCATTCGTATAAGCCCATCTTCAAAATCAACAGGCAGTCTCATAGTTGCATTTTGGTTTTCATTTCATCTGACACTTTTCCTATGATCATTCATGTTTATACTCACTTACAGAAAATTGATGTGTACGTCACACTGCTGCATGCATGTTGTTCAAGCTAACCATACCCTATCTTTGCATTGTTACCTCTTTGACTTAACTATTTAGAGCTCAGCTATTGTTTTCACTAGCCATTTAGCATCTAAGATAGATAGATAGATAGATAGATAGATAGATAGATAGATAGATAGATAGATAGATAAATATGCAACATTGATTTTTAATTAGTATATTAGTTTGTTGAGGCTACTATAACAAAGTACCACATACCAGTTGGCTTAAGCAACAGAGAGTCATTGTCTTATAATTCTGGAGGTTAGAAGTCTGAGAACAAGGTATCAGCAGATTCATAAAACAAATTCTGTTCCATCCTTTTCTCCTAGTTTCTGGGGTTTTGTTATCAGTCTTTGTCATTCATGGCATGTAGAAGGCATTCTCCCTGTACCTTCGCATTGTCTTTCTCTGTAGCTCTCTTTTCTTCACATGGTGTTCTTCTCAAATAAATACCAGTCACATTGATTTGGGGACCCGCCCTACTCCAGTGTTACCTTATTTTAATGAATTATGTCTGCAAACACCCTATTTCCAAATAACATCTCATTCTGAGATACTGGGTATTAAGACTTCAACATATGGTATTTAAAGGGACACAATTTCTATCATAATGGTCATCTTCATCATCTACTTGTCACTCAGCATCTATTAAATTTAGCAGAATGTGCCTCAATTGATTTAGATGGATTCTCTAAGCATTAATTACTATTTAAGAGATTACTTTTCCATATTCTCACTGATAAATATGTAGTATACATATAATAGAATATATCAAAATTACCATTTAAATCTGCTTCTCTTCTTGACGCTAGTAAAACTGTTACTGTACCATTTTAGCATTATTTTATTTACTGAAGGAAACAGCTACCATCACCAAACAAACAACAAAAAGTAAAATAAAAAAAATATTTGAAAATATCTACTCAGGTGCAATCCACTATTTAGTCCCTACTAATAGACATACATGTCATTCTCAGATATTAATATGGCATTTATAGTTTTGATATTAATATCTAAGATTTAGTGCTTTGTGATTATAACAACTTTTATCATTTTCCAGGTAGAATAAGTCACTAACAAGGAGTCAGTCTACTGCCTTTATCAGACAGGTTCACTCCAGAGCTCTTAAATACCCTAAGTACAAGGATTAGAATATACTAAGCTAATAATTTATTCCTGTGCTCATAAAGTCATTCGATAGCTTGTCCATCAGAACATATTTATTAGCAATGAAGAACATACCCAAATACCAATTCCTAGCTATTTATAGTATGAAAGTAAATTATTGATAACATTATGACAAATATTTAATATGCCAATGACAAAATAAGTTGAGGAGGTTATTTCATTTACAGGTAAAGCGATATAAATACAAATAAAGCAAGAATGTGAATTTTTTTAAGTCTGAAATTCATTTTCCATATTAAAATAGCCTAAATGACCTACAGAATTCAGTTCAAGGTTCATCTGTTTACATAATCTATTGCCTGAGGGAGTGTTGAAGGAGAAAATTTATTTGAGAAGAAAATTAGATAATCACTGGGGGAAGTTGATTGAATGCTGACAAAGTGTCAGCAACTTGCTTCTTTAATTTATGGTTTTAATCATAGGAAGTTGGTCTGAGCTGGAAAATGTGCACATACTTTAACCAAATGCCAAGTTTCACAGGGCTTAACATTAAACTGCTCAACTGAAATATTAACACTATATTCAATGTTTCATTAATTCATTAATACATTCTTTCTTTAAATAATTATTCAACATCTGTTATCTGCAATGCTTTTGAGATCTACAATTGTCCCACAAGTTAATAAGATAGCGAAGGTACATAGCAGGATTTTCTATTCAGAAGAACTTCAAGAAAGGCATTCCAGAGGAAATTATATCTGAGCTAAGTCTAAAAGGATGGTTAGGAATTAACCAGGTAAAGGCAGCCAAGAGAGGGCCACAAATGTTGGATGATACAGAAGTGGATGTTTCAGAAAGAGAAAATAACATAAATAACGATCTGGGGCAAAGACGTAGCATATTCTGATTTCAGCTTGGCTGGCGTGCAGGATGTCAGGTAGAGTGTGATGCAAGTAAGCATAGATAGCATAACATCCATATTAAGAAAAGTGGAATGTATAATGGTTCCAATGAAAAGCCACAGAGGAGTTTTTCTTTGTGACATGTATAAGCAAATTAGCATTCTACAGAGTATTCCAAACATAGAGTGGAGAATGTATTGAATAGAAAAATAACTAGAGGCCAGAAGACTACAATATTACAGCTGTAAAACATAACAGGGGTGTTTTGTATCTGGAAAATTAGGCTAGGACTAATAGAGACAGAGGAAGTAATGGTTGTAAAAATATGTATTGGGTATTGAATTTTTGTGCTACTGGTGTGGATAGGGAAAGAGAACTGAAATCAAGAAATGATAGCAGCTCTGTGATTTGGAAAAGAAGTGAAAATTCTATCCAAACCAAGAAACACAGATTAATACAGATCAATAGGTAATAGTAACCTGTAGATTTAAGTTGAAAAGGATTACTGCTCCTCTATACACTTTGTCAAAACGTGCCATAATTTTTAAAATTATAATTAAAATGTTGATACTGGGTTCAGGAGATGATAGCAGTGGTAAGAATGTCCCACTTTTGGCAACTAATTCGCCATTCTTCTCTTAATTTAGTTGATCACATCACATACATATCATCTCTAATCTTTCTTATCCTAGAGTACAGCAGGAACTGCAAAAAAACAGCTTTATATTTTAAATACCATGTAATTTCACATACTTTATAATTCACCTCCTATATGGGTAGTCAATATTTTTTAGAAAATTTATAGAGTTCTGCAACTATAACCATAATTCAGTTTTAAAACATTCAGTCAAATATCTGCCTTAAACGAATTTTTAGTTAATTCCCACTCTCACACCCCACTCTACTTTATGACTGATCTCTTTCTACCTCTGTAATTTGCATTTAATGGATATTTGATATAAATGGAGTTATACAGAATGTGGTCTTTCGTCCTGCCCTTTTCTTTTAGCTTAATATATTTGAATTCACCTATTTTGTGCAATGTATCAGTAGTCAGATCCTTTCCATTGCTGAATAGCAGTTCATTACATAACGATGTTACATTTTGTTTTCCACTTACTAGGTAACTGCCAGGTTATGGCTATTATGAAATACTTAAATTGCTGCTATGAATATTTGCACGCAGGTATTTGTGTGTGTATGTACTATTATTTCTCATTGATCCTAAAGGTGAAATTGCTAGGATTTTTGTTAATCTTTGACATTTTAAGAAACCAACAAATTCTTCAGAATGGTTGCACCCATTTTTCATTACCAGCAAGGTCTAGTTTCCAATTGCTTGCCAATATTTAATATTTTCTGTCATTGTATTATAGTCACTCTAATTTATGTAAAATAATATTTTGCAGAGGTTTTAATTCGTGTTTCCATAATCACTAACGATGTTGAGCATCTTTTCATGTATTAGTCATTTGCATATCTTCATTGATAAAATTTCTAATAGTTTTACCCATTTTTAAAATTGTGTAACATTTGTCTTATTATCTTGTAAGAGTTCTACAATATCCTATATCAAACACAGAAATATAAAACTCCTAGACTATAATCCAGATGTATGTTTTATTCTAGAAGTTTTATCATTTTAGCACTTTCATTCCATTTTGATCTATGGCATATTGTGTGTTAATATTTCATATGGTATAAGGTTAAAATCTCAGGGGTTTTATGTCTATTTCTTTTTTTTCCTTTTTTTTTTGGACATTCAATTATCCTAACACCATTTGGAGAAAAGTAATACTGCCTATCCTTTCCCCAGGGAATTGTCTTGGCACATTTGTTAAATTAGGTCAT
Source organism: Homo sapiens (assembly GCF_000001405.40). Taxonomy (NCBI): domain Eukaryota; kingdom Metazoa; phylum Chordata; class Mammalia; order Primates; family Hominidae; genus Homo; species Homo sapiens. The sequence goes on from NC_000007.14 coordinate 119,627,441, forward strand.
CATAAATATAAAGGTTTATTTCTAAATTATCAATTATATTTTATTGTTCATATACAAACTTTTGCCCCAATATCAAATGTTTGATTACTCTGACTTCATAAGGACTTTGAAAAAAGATAGTTAACTTCATATTTGTTCCATTTTTTAAATTATTTTGGCTTTTTTATGTACTTTACATCTCCATAAGACTTTAAGATCATTTCGTTAATTTATATTTTTAAAAATTTGCTGGTACCTTCATAAGAATTGCATTAAATTTTTAGATCAATTGGGGGAGGATTACCATCTTGAAAGCATCATATCTTCCAACCCATGAATTTTTATTTAGAACTTTAATTTCTCTCAGCAATGTTTTATTTTTTAACTTTACAAGCCTTGTACTTCTTTTGTTTTTATTTCCAAGCATTTAAATTTTTATTGTATTATAAATGGTATTACTTTCTTAATATTAGTTTTGAATTGTTTTGAATATAAGTGTATAGAAATACACTTAATTTTTGTAAATCCATATTATATTCTATGATCTTACTACTTGTTTCCTTTAATTGCTTGAAATTATCTACATAAAAGGTGATGTCATTTGCAAATAAGAGTTTTACTTCTTTTCTCTCAACCTGCTCTTTTTTGTTGTTTTTGTCTTTCTTTCCCTTATTTTACATCTAAAACCTCAAGAAAAAAATGTTAGATCACACTGATGAAGAAAAAAAGCTCTTTCCTGTTTCTTTTATTACAGGTAGAGAAATCAGCATTTTCACAATTAAGTATCATGTTAACTGCGGGTTTTTCACAAATGTCATTTATGAAGTGGGAGGTGTTCCCTCTACTCTTAATTTGCTAGGAGGGTTGTGTTTGCTTCATTCCTGCTGTTTAGTCAAATATTGTCAAATGCATCTTTTGACCATTATTATGTTAACATATTATACTAAATAATTTTCAGATATTAAACTAACTTGGCATCCAACTTGCTCATGGTGCATAATCTCTTTTATATGTTGCTGAAAGAACATATGAATACCACTGAGGTAGTATTCATGAGGGGCTTTGGACAGTAGTTTTATGTTCTTGCAACATAGTTGTCTGGTTGTGGTATCAGGGCAATACTGACCTCATATAAAAACTAGTTGAGAAGTATTCACTCCTTTACTTGCTAGAAGTGTTTTGGTGACTTAACGTTATTTATTCTTCAATTATTAAATAGACTGCACCAATTAAAATATCTCTGCTTTTCTTTGTGGGCAGATTTTTAATGACTAATTCAATTTTTGAATGTCTTATATAATGTATTTGTGCTTTCTGTTTCTTCATGAATTGGTTTTCAAAGTGTCCTCTTCTAGAAATTTTTCCATTTTATCAAAGCTATTTTATTATTTTTGATTTTCACAATATCCTCATATAAATTTTTAATGTTTTAATTACTAAATGTTCTTTTAAGGTATCTTCTCTTTAATTTGGTAATTCAAATTTTGTCCACATTGTTCCAGTTCGCGTCCAGATATAAGTTAGTAAGTTTTGTTAATCTTTTCAGAGAACAAACTTGGTTTTCATAACTTTTTCTGTTGTTTTCTCCATTCTATTTGATTTGATGTCTTTTTAAGTTTTTATTACTTTCTTCCCTTTGCTTGGTTTTTGTTTGCTTTACTTTCTTTCTAGTTTCATAAGCCGGGAGCTTAAATTATTGTTTTGAGATCTTTCTTCTTCCCTGATAGACTTTAAATATAAAAGCTATAAATATTCCACAAATGTTGGTATATTACCTGTCTTTTTATTCAATTCAAAGTGTTTTCTAATTTTCCTTGTGCTGTTTTATTTGCTATGAGTTATTTAGAAGCATTTTGTTTAATTTACCAATATTTGAAGACTTCACACATTCCTTTCTATTGTTTAACTCAACTTTTTATTAGAGAACATGTCTGGTATAACTTAAATCATTTGAAATTTATTGAGAATTTTTATAGCATAGCGTACGACCTGTTTTGGAGAATGTTTCATGACTTGTGAAAAGAATGCAGATTCTAAAGTTATTGGGTGATTTATTCTTTATATTATATGTCAGTTAGGCTAACTTCAATGATAGTGCTTCTCTAGACTTCTTGCTAATTATACTTCTAGTTGTTTTGTCAGTTATAGAGAGTGAAGTATTTAAATGATTATTGTTAAATCATTTCTTTTTTTCTTTCCATTCCATCATTTTTGTTCCATGTAATTAGAGAATTTGTTAGGTGTATATGTTTGTATAATTATTGTATCTTCCTAATAAATAGAATATTTAATTTCCATGAACTACCACTCTTTTTTTTCTTGATAATACAGTGATCTTTGTATAGTACAAGTCTATATATGGTAATACTGTTTCTATTTTGACCGCCATTGAAAAACTACTCCATCTCCATCATATGTTCCCTTTGGTTGGTATATATTTTTTTCATCTTTTTACTTTGAACCAATTTGTGTTTTTAAATCCAGTGGGTGTCTTCTTTTTTAGACAGTATGTAGTTGGATATAACTTTTCTAATCTGTCTGATAATCTCTGCCTTTTGAATATAATAGAACTTTTATATTTAAGGTGATTAGTGATTTATTTCCATTTGGCATATTGCTATTTGTTTTTCTTATATGTTTTCTGTATTTTTTCCATTTCTTTGTTTCTCATGTACTGCCTTCATTTATGTTACATCATTATTTTTAGCATACTTCTAAAATTTCTCTGTTGATGTTTTGTACTATATTTCTTAGTTACATTTTGGTTGTTTCTCTAGAGGTCAAAATATGCATCTTAGCATATCTTCCCTGCATACATATTGCCTTATCCAGCAATATGCCTTCTCTAACAAAGACAGCATCCTTAAGCTAGAAGAGTCATTGGCTTTCCCTGACGTTTGCCAGAAATATTGCCTCTTCCATCAACAGTACTACTGGATGTGTGTATGATTTTTGGCTTTGTGTCCCCACCCAAATCTCATCGCAAATTGTAATCCCCATGTGTTGAGGGAGGGACCCAGTGGGAGGTGATTGGAGCTTGAGGGTAGTGTCCCTCATGCTGTTATAATAGTGAGTGAGTTCTTATGAGATCTAATGCTTTAAAAATGTGGCACTTTCTCTCTCTCTCTTTTGCTCTCTCTTTCTCTTTCTCTCTCTCTCTCTCTCACCGCTGTGGAATGCTACTTTGCTTCCCCTTCAACTTCTGCCATGATTTTAAGTTTCCTGAGGCCTCCCCAGCCGTGGAGAACAGTGACTCAATTAAATTTCTTTACCAAGTCTCAGGTAGTTCTTTACAGCAGTGTAACAATGGACTAACACACCAATGCAAATTGAGTGAGCCCTTTGTGCCTGTGGAAAAGAAGCTTACCTATACTCACCCCTTGCCCTGTACTGGCAGAGCCTCTGTGCTGACTGAGCTGGAAAGGGAGGGGATCAAGAAGAAACAGACCCAACAAGAATGTCTATTTCTTCTGCTCTTACCTGAAGTTCAGCAATTTTTAATAATAAATGTTTGTCACATTATTTGCAGGCCTTTGGTTGATATCCAGCAAGCTAAAATGGTTATTTTTATAAATTTTGACCATCTTTATGGCTGTTTTGTGGAAATGATTTGCTGACCTCCTCACTTGGACATACCAGAAAATTCCTCACCATAACTTTTGGATCATAATTTATAAGATCTTGAATAATTTAGAGTGACTGAGTTCCAGGTTTGTACTATACCAAAGGTTAAGGGCCAGGCTTTTCCAAGGGTAGGATATACAAGACAGCTCAATAAGCCTGTCATCTTTTATGTTTAAATCAGCTTAAAGGAAAACATTAAGTCTACCTTTGGATGAATCCAATTTTGAAAATATCTCAAGGTACAGTTGACCTATACTCTAGAACTCTCTTAGTCATGGTACTATGACTGTGTTAGTATCTATGTCTAGAAATGTTAACTTACATTTTACCAGAATATTAATTTGGATGTTACACTTGCTTACACAGTGAATTGCCAATATAATATTAGATGATTACTGGAAGAAACTATCACTTCTGTTCTCCAAATACCCACTTAGGCTTTAGTGGTTATTGGTTTATTCTTAGCAGGGCAGTAACAAGATATGTTAGGTTAAGAAATCAAGTAGAGTAGATAGTAACTTACTTATACAGTTATACAGTGTGTCTTCTTGCAGATGTTTAAAACATGTACCTAGAGATAGAGGATAAATGTATTGACAAAGATATCATGCTCAGTTTAGTTCTGAAATTAAAGAATAATATTTTAGGTAGATTGATTTAATTCCTATATTTATCTAGTAATTATTTACTAGAGCCTAATTCAGCAGGAATTGTGCAAGTGTCAAGGTTTGAAAAGGAACGGGAAAGAGTCCTAGTTTTCATAGGCTTTTCAGAAAATAAAGAAGCAGATAAACCTGTTACCACAACATTTTGTGAATGATGCTGTAATAGAATCTTTCTAGTTTATGAAAAGAGAGTCTTCCTAGATTTTGTGAGTCTATGATGACCATCTGCACTGCCCCAGGTATAGACTCACAAAATCAGATACAGTTAGATAATTTTCTCTGCTCATAGATGTCAAGGATGCAAAATTTTCTTCATACCACCAAATCACAGGCAACATGACCACCAATGACATAATTCACAATGTGTCTATCCATATGCATTGTGCATTTAACATAGTTAATACTGTGTATGAGGTTACTTATAGCTAAGTCATTTTGTTTCCTGAATGGTGACATATATTGTTCACATTGCTTAGAGTTTCCAATTTGCAAGTAATGTAGAAAATGTTATATACCTAACTATTAGCTTTTGAGGAGATGTTTTGCTTTATTCCTTTAGCAGTACCTATAGATCACAGATATACAAATATTTTTAGCACTCAATTTTCTTCACCTTTTAATTCTGCCTATCTGTATTTAATTTCTGCAGAGAAAATAACTTTTTTCCTTCTATTTTGTTTAGTTCAGTTTCTAAATGTATTTCTGTATCTCTCTGTGTCACTTACATGATATAGTTTAATATTCAAAGAAAAATTCAGGAATATGATATATTGCACTTCTAGCCAATACTCATTAAATTTCAAAGACATTTTACAGCAATCAAAACCACTTTAAAATTATCAAAAATATTTATGTATTTTTGGCATATTAAACTTCGAAAAACCTCTTTTCTTTAAAAACTTCTTATATAGTTTGGATTTCAAGCCAGCATATACCTCTGGAAAATTTGCTATGCTCTCTTTGATTCCAAGCAATCATACTGAGGAAAGATGATTTGATGCAGAAGAATTAGAAATGTGTTAATATTTCAAGGAAAGACAGACATAGTAAGATTGGAATATTTACACCTCAAATAGAAATTAAAAGTAGCACCATAATACAAACTATGCTTCGGGTGGCAACATAGACTATTCATACACAAATAAGTAATAAAAAAATAAGTTAACATTTAGAAGGTGAACATGACTCAAAGATCTGTGAAAATCAATTAACCAAAAATAGCCTGTTCCAAAGAAATTGAAAGAGATACAAATGAAATTATACTTTAACCTTTAACCTGTGTTTGTAATGAATTCTATCTGCTAGACAATATTACAATAATGTTGTGCCTTTTCCACAAAGACAAATTCTTCAGCATTACATTTACTAGGACACCCTCCTCACCCCACACAGAAAGTGCACTCAGATGCTAGGCTTCTATGTCTAAATATTATTCTTTCCCTCTAACTCAAAAATATCTTTATATAATTTTGTTTACATTTTGACAAATTCTAGCTCCAAGACTTTGCTTATCAGATGAGCATTTGAATTATTTTTCACTTTCAAATGTAGTGCAATAAGTGCTTATTACTAAACCACTCTTTGCCTAGCTCCATGCTGGGCTTTATAAAATCAACAGTGCTCAGTCTCTATACTTTCTTCCTCAATCCCTCTTCTATCCTGTCCTCTTCTCTACATTTTTTCCCTTTTTTCTCTTTCCCTCCTTTTGTCATCTCTCCTTCAATCTGAGAACACAATTATTTCAAGGAGACATATATTCCCCATAAGGAAGACATGCCTATGAAGATTTATTGGTGGTAATTATGTGTGTAATACTGTAGCCACAAAAATATTGTGGCCAAAACTCTATAGGTGAATGAATCCATCATTTAAAACAAGAATATGAGTTTACCAACTAACAGCTGGATGAATGAAAGTAATAAACACAAGTTTAAAATTGTATGTGATTAACTGTTTATGGGATTTTTGTTGTTTTTACTTTGTGTGTCTTCTCAGATAATAATTATTATTTTTTCTTTTTTTAACTTTTATATTAAGTTCAAGGGTACAAGTGCAGATTTATTACATTGGTTAACTTGTGTCATGGGGGTTTTTTGTAGAGATTATTTCATGACCCAGATATTAAGCCTAGTACCCATCAGTTATTTTTCCAGATCCTCTCCCCTTCTTCTACCCTCCACCCTCTGAAAGGCCCAGTGTGTGTTGTTCCCCTCTATGTGTCCATGTGTTCTCATAGTTTAGTTCCACTTATAAGTGAGAACATGGTTTTTTTTTTAATTTATTTTATTTTATTTTATTATTTATTTTATTTTATTTATTTTATTTTATTTTATTTTATTTTTATTATACTTTAAGTTTTAGGGTACATGTGCACATGGTGCAGGTTAGTTTCATATGTATACATGTGCCATGCTGGTGCGCTGCACCCACTAACTCGTCATCTAGCATTAGGTATATCTCCCAATGCTATCCATCTCCCCTCCCCCCATCCCACAACAGTCCCCAGAGTGTGATGTTCCCCTTCCTGTGTCCATGTGATCTCATTGTTCAATTCCCACCTATGAGTGAGAATATGCGGTGTTTGGTTTTTTGTTCTTGCAATAGTTTACTGAGAATGATGATTTCCAATTTCATCCATGTCCCTACAAAGGACATGAACTCATCATTTTTTATGGCTGCATAGTATTCCATGGTGGATATGTGCCACATTTTCTTAATCCAGTCTATCATTCTTGGACATTTGGGTTGGTTCCAAGTCTTTACTATTGTGAATAATGCCGCAATAAACATACGTGTGCATGTGTCTTTATAGCAGCATGATTTATAGTCCTTTGGGTATATACCCAGTAATGGGATGGCTGGGTCAAATGGTATTTCCAGTTCTAGATCCCTGAGGAATCGCCACACTGACTTCCACAATGGTTGAACTAGTTTACAGTCCCATCAACAGTGTAAAAGTCTTCCTATTTCTCCACATCCTCTCCAGCACCTGTTGTTTCCTGACTTTTTAATGATTGCCATTCTAACTGGTGTGAGATGGTATCTCATTGTGGTTTTGATTTGCATTTCTCTGATGGCCAGTGATGGTGAGCATTTTTTCATGTGTTTTTTGGCTGCATAAATGTCTTCTTTTGAGAAGTGTCTGTTCATGTCCTTCGCCCACCTTTTGATGGGGTTGTTTGTTTTTTTCTTGTAAATTTGTTTGAGTTCATTGTACATTCTGGATATTAGCCCTTTGTCAGATGAGTAGGTTGCGAAAATTTTCTCCCATTTTGTAGGTTGCCTGTTCACTCTGATGGTTGTTTCTTTGGCTGTGCAGAAGCTCTTTAGTTTAATTAGATCCCATTTGTCAATTTTGGCTTTTGTTGCCATTGCTTTTGGTGTTTTAGACATGAAGTCTTTGCCCATGCCTATGTCCTGAATGGGAATGCCTAGGTTTTCTTCTAGGGTTTTTATGGTTTTAGGTCTAACGTTTAAGTCTTTAATCCATCTTGAATTGATTTTTGTATAAGGTGTAAGGAAGGGATCCAGTTTCGGCTTTCTACATATGGCTAGCCAGTTTTCCCAGCACCATTTATTAAATAGGGAATCCTTTCCCCATTGCTTGTTTTTCTCAGGTTTGTCAAAGATCAGATAGTTGTAGATATGCGGCGTTATTTCTGAGGGCTCTGTTCTGTTCCATTGATCTATATCTCTGTTTTGGTACCAGTACCATGCTGTTTTGGTTACTGTAGCCTTGTAGTATAATTTGAAGTCAGGTAGTGTGATGCCTCCAGCTTTGTTCTTTTGGCTTAGGATTGACTTGGCAATGCAGGCTCTTTTTTGGTTCCATATGAACTTTAAAGTAGTTTTTTCCAATTCTGTGAAGAAAGTCATTGGTAGCTTATGGGGATGGCATTGAATCTGTAAATTACCTTGGGCAGTATGGCCATTTTCATGATATTGATTCTTCCTACCCATGAGCATGGAATGTTCTTCCATTTGTTTGTATCCTCTTTTATTTCCTTGAGCAGTGGTTTGTAGTTCTCCTTGAAGAGGTCCTTCACATCCCTTGTAAGTTGGATTCCTAGGTATTTTATTCTCTTTGAAGCAATTGTGAATGGGAGTTCACTCATGATTTGGCTCTCTGTTTGTTGTTGCTGTATAAGAATGCTTGTGATTTTTGTACATTGATTTCGTATCCTGAGACTTTGCTGAAGTTGCTTATCAGCTTAAGGAGATTTTGGGCTGAGACAATGGGGTTTTCTGGATATACAATCATGTCGAGAACATGTTTTTAATTGACAAATAAAACGGTATATATTTATGGTATACACCATGATATGGTTTGGCTCTGTGTTCCCACCCAAATCTCATGTCAAATTAATCCCCATGTGTCAAGAGAGCGACCTCGTGGGAGGTGACTGGATTCCCCATGCTCTTCTTGTGATAGCGAGTTCTCATGAGATCTGATGGTTTAAAAGTGTGACACATCCACGTTTGCATTCTCTTTCTCCTGACACCATGTAAGACATGCCTTGCTTCCCCTTCACCTTCTGCCATGATTGTAAGTTTCCTGAGGCCTCCTCAGGCATGCAGAATTGTGAGTCAATTAACCATCTTTTGTTTATAAATTACTCGGTCTCAAATAGTTCTTCATTGCAGTATGAAAACGAACTAATACACACCATGCCATCTAAATAATGTATGCATTGTGAAATGGCTGAATTAAGCAAATTAACATATGCATTACCTCATCACATATCTTTTTTGGTGTGTAGTAAGAACAATTAACATCTAGCCTCCTAATGATTTTTGAATATAAAATAACAATATTGTTATCAACTATAATCACTATGCTGTATGGTAGATAGCTTTATTTCTCCTGTCTAACTGAAATTTTGTATCCTTTACCCAACCTTTCCCCAATCTCCCCTGTTCCCACTTCCAGAATCTGACAAAATCCATTCTATTCCCAGTATTTATAAATTCTCCTTTTAAAAATTTCATATATGGGTGAGATCGTGTGGTATTTCTCTTTCTGTGCCTAGCTTTTATATTTCACTTCACATAATGTTCTCCAGGTTCATACATATTGTTGCAAAAAATAGAATTCTCTTCTTTTTAAGGTGGAATAGTACTCCATTGTGTATAGATAGCACATGTTCTTTATTCATTCATTCATTGATAGGCACTTGCATTGATTCCATGTCTTGCCTATTGTAAATAGTACTGCAACGAACCTAGGAGTGCAGCTATCCCTTTGACATACTGATTTCACTTCCTTTGGATATATATCTGGCAGTTGGATTGCTGGATCATATGGTAGTTCTTAGTTTTTTGAGGAACCTCCATACTGTTTTTCATAATGAGTGGACTAATTTACTTTCTTATCAACAGTGTGACATGGCTCCCTTTCCTCTACATCTTTGGCAACCTTTCTGTCTTTTTTGATAACAGTCGTTCTAACAGGTGTGAGGTGATAGCTCATTGTGATTTAAATTTGAATTTCCCTGATGATTAATGATACTGAATATCTTTCACATATTGGTGGCCATTAGTATCTATTCTTTTGAGAAATGTCTATTCAGGGCCTTTACTTCTTATCAGATGTATGGTTTGCAAATATTTTTCTCTCACTCCATAGGTTGTCCCATCAATCTGTTTATGTTTCAATTGTTGTGCAGAAGATTTTAGTTTGATGTTATCCTATTTGTACATTTGTGCTTTTATTACCTTTGTTTTTGAATTCATATTCAAAAAATCATTGCCCAGACCAATGCCATGGGACTTTTTTCTTACGTTTTTCTCTAACAGTCTTATAGTCTCAGTTCTTACATTTAAATCTTTAATGCTTTTTGCATTGGTTTTTATGTATTGTGTAAGATAAGGGTCTAATTTCATTATTTTGCTTAGGAACAGTTAGTTTTCACAACACCATTTATTTAAGAGAATGTCCTTTCCCACTTGTGTTTTCTGGGTATCTTTGTCAAAAATCAATTAACAATAAATGTGTGTATTTATTTCTGGGCTTGTAATGTTCAATTGGTCTATGTGTCTGTTTTATGACAGTATCATGTATTGATTATTATATCTTTGTAGTAGATGTTGAGATCAAGTAGGGTGACACCCTCAGCTTTGTGTTTTTGCTCAAGTTTGCTTTGGTTATTTGTGGTCTTTTGTGGTTTCATACAAACTGTAAGGTTGATTTTTCTATTTCTAGGAAAATAATCATTAAAATTTGGTAGAAATTGCATTGAATTTTTGGCTTGCTTTGCATAATATAGACATTTTAGCAACATTAATTCTTCTAAACCATGAACACTGGGTAATTTTCCACCTATTTGTTTCATCTTAAATTACTTTAATCAATGTTTTACAGTTTTCAGTGGACACATTAGTTCAGCATACAAGTTGGTTTTATAGATTCAGTGTACAGCGTACAAGCTCACCTCATGAGTTAAATTTAGTCTTAAGTATTTTATTTTTTGTAGTTGTTGTTAATCAGGTGGCTGTATTTATTTCTTTTTCAGATAGTTCATTGTTAGTTTATAGAAATGCTACTGATTATTTTATGTTGATCTTGTATTTTCCTACTTTCCTGAACTGATTTACTAGTGCTAATAGTTTTGATAGAGTCTTTATGGTTTTTCAAGTATAAGATCATGTAATCTGCAAAAAAGGCAATTTGACTTCTTCCTTTCTATTTGGTGGCCTTTTATTTTTTTCTCTTGCCTAATTGCACTGACTGGTTCTTTCAGTACTATGTTGAATAGAAGTGGCCTGACTGGGCACTCTTGTCTTATTCTTCTTGATCTTATATAAAAACCTTTCAACTTTTCACCATTGAATATGATGTTAGCAGTAGGCTTGTCATATGTGACCTTTATTATGTACATTCTTTCTGCACATAGTTTGTTGAGAGCTTTTTATCATGAAGAGATATTGAATTTTGTGAAATGTATTTTCTGCTTCTACTGAGGTGGTCATATGAATTTTGTTCTTCATTCTGTTAATGTGGTGTCTCATTTATTGATTTGCATATGTTGAAGCATCCTTGCATATCTGTGATAAATTCCTCTTAATAATGGTAAAATTATCCATTTAACGTGCTGTTGAATTTGATTTGTTAGTATTGTGTTGAGGATTTTTACATCTCTCTGAATCAAGGATATTGCCTTGTAATTTTTTCTTTCAGTGTCTTTGTCTGGCTTTGGTATCAAGGTTATTCTAGCCTCATAAAATTAATTTGGAAGTATTTCCTCTTCCATTTATGGAAATTGCTTGAGGGGGATTAGTTTTAGTTTTTCTTTAAATGTTTGGTAGAATTCAACAGTGAAACCATTGGGTCCTAGACTTTTCTTTGACAGGAGACTTTTATTATCAACCAATCTCCTTACTCTTTATTAGTCTGCTCAGATGAACTATTTATTTATTATGGTGAATTGCTGAAAAGGTTTCCTTGCAATCTATAGCTACAGATAATCCAGGGATTTTTCAAGGAGGGATATTAGAAATTATAGGTTTGAATCTAGGAGCTAATTATTCAGGATAAAAATGCTTTCCACGGATCACAAGGTCAGGAGATCAAGACCATCCTGCCTAACACGGTGAAACTCCGTCTCTACTAAAGTAAACAAACAAACAAACAAACAAAAAAATTAGCCAGGCATGGTGGCGGGCGCCTGTCTGTATTTCCAGCTACTCAGGAGGCTGAGGCAGGAGAATGGTGTGAACCTAGGAGGCGGAGCTTTCAGTGAGCTGAGATAGCGCCACCGCACTCCAGCCTGGGCTACAGAGAGAGACTCCATCTCAAAACAAAAAAACAAAAAGAAAAACAAAACAAACAAACAAAAAAAGTGACAAGGAGCTGCTGAATTGTTGTCAAAAGGACAAAAGGAGCTGGTAGGATTCCTTGATGGGGACAGCAGTGAAAGCCTTATCTGAAGTCAGAAGATAGTCCTCACTCCTTTCTTTAAAATATTCAGAGCACACTGCCTTGAGAATTAATCATCTCTAATTGCATTCCTGTATGGGGATTGCATAGAGAAGATGGCTAATATTTTATTGTTATCTTCAGTAAGAAGAATTACAACTGCCTAGTAGGAATCCTGGTGGGATAAGAAACTTACAAAATATCTATTGAGGGCTCAGATTATCTGTATAAACCATAAAATCTTAACTTCATTTTGCTGGACAGAACCATGTGTCCTGTGGAAAGGGGCTGACAGACATAAGAATGCACAGCTTATTATTATAATCATAATTAGTTTTCATAATGAGTCGTGCTAATATTGAAAGAGTTTTGGAGATTTAGTCCACATTTACATGGATTCTGTTACATTACATTGTTTTTTATTAATGGGTGCTGAAGTTATGTTTTTGAAAATACCAAGTGTATTCTCACTAGGAAGCAGAGAAATTTTTAAAGTTTCAATTAAGAAAATTAAATACATTAGATCATGTTCATAATGCTACTTTGATGAAATGAAAGTTTAAGTAGATGCAGAAATATTATTAATAGTATTATACATGGGATGTATAAAAGATAACAGAATTAAGACCATGTTCAAGGAAAAAATGTTTTACCTTTTTTACATGAATTTAAGGCAAGTTAACACTAATAATGCCTAGACATTTGCTTTATAAAATTCAATTATTCTTCGTTTTGACTTGAAGAAATTTAAGATTGTGAATATATTTTATTTTGAATGCATTCAGCCTGGTTTCAAGCAATATGTTTTTAACATGGTTCTAATAATTGCATTATGCTATCATTTCCATTTTTAGAGTTTCAGTTACGCAGACATAGCTACAAGCTGCCTCACCTTTCTTATCTCTTGCCCTGAGCAGTTTTAGTTAAACCTCAAAAATAAGATATGGTATCACTAAGAACCAATGCAGCTTCACACTGTGTGTATGTCAATAGAACAATCATTTTATTTGAAATGCTTATCCCTTTCTAACGCACAGAATACGTCTAAAAGATTTTTACATATGTTTGTCAGATACATTTTAGATGCAGTTCTTGTAAAATTTAATAATGCAGAGTACTGGTAAGTAGACGCATAATTCACATTCTGGTAACTCAAGTTCTGAAATACCTTAGAGGGTAAAAAGAAACAAAAATATAACCTAAAATTTGGTTATTTGAATGTGTGTTTGTTGGTAATAATAAAAAAGTCAGGTCTACCGAGCTATATTTAAGATTAAAAATTTCTTCTTTTCAAAGCTATTCCACATATATCACATCAGTAGTTTAGCCATCATTATCAACAGTATCTATGCTATCATACTGAGGTCCCCAATCCCTGCACCACCAACTGCTACCAGACCTTGGTCTGTTAGGAACCGGGCCACAAGCAGGAAGTGAGCAGCACCTGGGTGAGCCAGCATGACCTCCTGAGCTCCACCTCCTGTCAGGTCAGTGATGGCATCAGATTCTCTTAGAAGTGAGACATCTACTGTGAACTGTGCACATGAGGGATGTAGACTGCGTGTTCCTTATGAGAATCTACTGCCTGATGATCTGAGGTAGAAAAGTTTCATCTCGAAAATATCTCCCTGAACATCCATGGAAAAACTGTCTTCCACAAAACCACTCCCTGATGACAAAAAGGTTGGGGATCACTGCTAAACATATTAATTAAATACTGAACAATATTAATGAAAGGAACTTGCCCATCATTGGAATCCAATCATAAATAAGCATTAGAATATATAAGATTTTTTATGTACATGTATTTTATAAATTAATATATGAGTTTATTGACTCATAGGGAACTACTCATTTGCTCACAGTTTACCTTAGTTGTTTTTATTTGTGATTGGTTAACTGTGATCTAATAATGCCTATCATGGTCTTTAATGGTCTCTTGGTTCTGCTCAGGAACAATAATCTATACAATTTGAGTTTGTAAGTCTGTTATTTTGCTTCTGGAAAAAAAAAATGGTTTTCTATGACAAGGAATCTTACTCTCCCAGTGCTCTCTCATTGCTGCTGCTACCCCTGCTCCTGCTGCTTCTTCTGCTTCTCCTTCTTCTCTCTTTAAATTCAGTTGAGTTCTTAAGCTACCAAGAGATATCAAGCATAAAAACTGTTCAACATGAAGATAGCCACCTTACCCCAATACATATCCATGTAAGGACTCAAGGCAGTTCCCCATAGGCCAGAAGACACTCTGGATTTGTCCTGTTATTTGTTGTTGTTGTTTGTTTGTTTTTCTATTTTTTTTCAATTAGCCTAATCCAAATACTATCCTAATATCCTCTTACTCTGATCTTCTTTAGTATCCCCTGACTTACCAGCCATTGATAATGATTTTCACTGTTCTCTTTTACTTTCTCGGCCATAATTGATTATTTTTCCAAGCACTAATCAATTGAGAATCCCTCTGTTAACATACATTGTTAAAACATATAGTCATAAGTTCAGATGGAACATAAGCTATCAATATTGATCATAGCTGGGGATTAAAAGCTGCCTGCCTAGGATTTAAGGTGAAATAGGGAAGATTTTACATAAAGCTTTAGTGACTCCTCCTTTCTTATTGACCATTCCACAAAGTCAGCTTCAGCAGCCTCATACTCCAATCTGCTCCCACCTTAAATGTGATTTTTCCCTCTATATTTGGTTCTATCTTCTTTATACTGATATCAATACAATTGTTCTAGACAAAAAGCCACCTAGAACATGAGGCTCACTTGATGTATTGTCTTTTTTGACAAGATTACGGACATGCATTGTCTGGACAATGCCTAAAAATAGTTTTTTAATACATATTATGTAGTTTTGCACTTGTTCATGGTGAGTAGGTATGTCTAATATCAGGTAATACATCATAATTCACAAAACAACTTTTTAAACAAAAGTATCTATAATATATTTGATAATAGGGCTTCATTTTCACAGTTTTATTGGGCAGCTTACTTACATAAAAAATTGGTAAGACAGATTTATGAAAGAAGTAGTATTTATTCATCATCTATCACCTTGCTGGCATGGAAATGCAGAAAAAATAATAAAATGACAGACAAAGTACACTCAACCATGTACTTTAAGTCAAGTCTCTACTCTCAGCATATGCAAATCACAAATCAAGGAAGTGTTATCCTAGGGAGTGTCCAGATGCTAAATAAGTAGAGCACTAATTAGACCCTAGAATGGGCACAAAAGCTTTGATTTACATTGCAGAGCATATACAAATTTATTCTGGGAGCATCTTACAGGAACAATGATATGTCTTTAATACAAGGAATAATGCAGAAGCTTAATGATCAAAACCAGGGAATTATATTTTTGGAGAAACTTAAAGGATAAATGAATAAAAAAATAGCTTCCTAACTGAAATTAAAAAAAAATTAAGTCTTAGGTGTAAATGAACTAGTTTTAGAACAGTATGTTAGCAGAGAAGATGAAATGCTTAATAGCTGTGCAGAAACAGGGAAAGATACCCTCTGGGATAATGGTATGATGAACTACTTATAGGTCATTTTGAATTTACATTCCCTTAACATTAGTGTTGGGAATTTACTACATCTCTAAAATGGTAGGGGTAGATATTTACCTTGAAGGTTCATTTAGTATACTTTCATATGATGCGTAGATGTTGCTAGTCTCTTTCTTCTCCATGGGACAGTATCTCAATAATTATGTCTCCTGTGATAATCAAGCTCAGATACATGTGCCCATGTGGTCATGAATACTTTATGTAAACTTTTTGTAAATTTTAGTTTCCAAATGTGTTCAATAAAGATAATTATAGCACCTTCATATAGGATTTTAGTTAAATGCAAATAAAAGGGAATATACTTAGAGTGTCTGATTCAGAGTGAAACGAGACTAATTTCCCCATAGAACTGATGAACAGATGTTGACGCTCGCTTTAAAAAAAAAAAAAAAATACATAGAAATTGACCCTCCCAGTCTTAAAGCTTGAAACTTAACATTTGTTTTATCTTAGTCCCTTTCACAGGAGATCAACTTTCAGCCCTCCCATCAGGGAAGTGAAACTTACCAGATCACCACATCCAATTAGACACCAGAACCCCATTCTTCACGATGGCCCAACTGATAAGGGTTGGCTCTGTGTCGCCACCCATATTTCATCTTGTAGCTTCCATAATTCACACGTGTTGTGGGAGGGACCGGATGGGAGACCATTGAATCCTGGGGGTGGGTCTTTCCCATGCTGTTCTTGATACTCAATGGGTCTCACAAGATCTGATGGTTTTAAAAACAGGAGTTTCTCTGCAGAAGCTCTCTTTTTGTCTGCCGCCATCTACCTAAGATGTGACATGCTCCTCCTTGCCTTCTGCCATGATTGTGAGGCCTCCCCAGCCACGTGGAACTGTCAGTCCAGTAAAACCTCTTTGTTTTGTAAGTTTCCCAGTCTTAGGTATTTTTTTTTAATTTTATTTTTATTATACTTTAAGTTTTAGGGTACGTGTGCACAACGTGAAGGTTTGTTACATATGTATACATGTGCCATGTTGGTGTGCTGCACCCATTAACTCGTCATTTAGCATTAGGTGTATCTCCTAATGCTATCCCTCCCCTCTCCCCCGACCCCACAACAATCCCCAGTGTGTGATGTTCCCCTTCCTGTGTCCATGTGTTCTCATTGTTCAATTCCCACCTATGAGTGAGAATATGTGGTGTTTGGTTTTTTGTCCTTGTGATAGTTTGCTGAGAAGGATGGTTTCCAGTTTCATCCATGTCCCTACAAAGGACATGAACTCATCATTTTTTATGGCTGCATAGTATTCCATGGTGGATATGTGCCACATTATCTTAACGCAGTCTATCATTGTTGGACATTTGGGTTGGTTCCAAGTCTTTGCTATTGTGAATAGTGCTGCTATAAATGTACGTGTGCATGTGTCTTTATAGCAGCATGATTTTTAATCCTTTGGGTATATACCCAGTAATGGGATGGCTGTGTCAAATGGTATTTCTAGTTCTAGATCCCTGAGGAATGGCCACACTGACTTCCACAATGGTGGAACTAGTTTACAGTCCCACCAACAGTGTAAAAGTCTTCCTATTTCTCCACATGCTCTCCAGCACCTGTTGTTTCCTGACTTTTTAATGATCGCCATTCTAACTGGTGTGAGATGGTATCTCATTGTGGTTTTAATTTGCATTTCTCTGATGGCCAGTGAAGATGCGCATTGTTTCATGTGCTTTTTGGCTGCATAAATGTCTTCTTTTGAGAAGTGTCTGTGCATATCCTTTGCCCATTTTTTGATGGGGTTGTTTTTTTCTTGTAAATTTGTTTGAGTTCATTGTAGATTCTGGATATTAGCCCTTTGTCAGATGAGTAGATTGCAAAAATTTTCTCCCATTCTTTAGGTTGCCTGTTCACTCTGATGATAGTTTCTTTTGCTGTGCAGAAGCTCTTTAATTAGATCCCACTTGTCAATTTTGGCTTTTGTTGCCATTGCTTTTAGTGTTTTAGACATGTCCTTGCCCATGCCTATGTCCTGAATGGTATTGCCTAGGTTTTCTTCTAGGGTTTTTATGGTTTTAGGTCTAACATTTAAGTCTTTAATCCATCTTGAATTAATTTTTGTATAAGATGTAAGGAAGGGATCCAGTTTCAGCTTTCTGCATATGGCTAGCCAGTTTTCCCAGTACCATTTATTAAATAGGGAATCTTTTCCCCATTTCTTATTTTGTCACGTTTGTCAAAGATCAGATGGTTGTACATGTGTGGTATTATTTCTGGGGGCTCTGTTCTCTTCCATTCATCTGTATCTCTGTTTTGGTACCAGTACCATCTGTTTTGGTTACTATAGCCTTGTAGTATAGTTTGAAGTCAGGTAGCGTGATGCCTCCAGCTTTGTTCTTTTGGCTTAGGATTGACTTGGCGATGTGGGCTCTTTTTTGGTTCCATATGATCTTTAAAGTAGTTTTTTCCAATTCTGTGAAGAAAGTCATTGGTAGCTTGATGGGGATGGCATTGAATCTATAAATTACCTTGGGCAATGTGGCCATTTTCACGATATTGATTCTTCCTACCCATGAGCATGGAATATTTTTCAATTTGTTTGTATCCTCTTTTATTTCATTGAGCAGTGGTTTGTAGTTCTCCTTGAAGAGGTCCTTCACATCCCTTGTAAGTTGGATTCCTAGGTATTTTATTCTCTTTGAAGCAATTATGAATGGGAGTTCACTCATGATTTGGCTCTCTGTTTGTCTGTTATTGGTGTATAAGAATGCTTGTGATTTTTGTACACCGATTTTGTATCCTGAGACTTTGCTGAAGTTGCTTATCAGCTTGAGGAGATTTTGGGCTGAGACAATGGGGTTTTCTAGATATACAATCATGTCATCTGAAAACAGGGACAATTTGACTTCCTCATTTCCTAATTGAATACCCTTTATTTCCTTCTCCTGCCTGATTGCCCCGGCCAGAACTTCCAACACTACATTGAATAGGAGTGGTGAGAGAGGGCATCCCTGTCTTGTGCCAGTTTTCAAAGGGAATGCTTCCAGTTTTTGCCCATTCAGTATGATATTGGCTATGGGTTTGTCATAGATAGCTCTTATTATTTTGAGATATGTCCCATCAATACCTAATTTATTGAGAGTTTTTAGCATGAAGCATTGTTGAATTTTGTCAAAGGCCTTTTCTGCATCTATTGAGATAATCATGTGGTTTTTGTCTTTCGTTCTGTTTATATGTTGGATTACATCTATTCATTTGCATATGTTGAACCAGCCTTGCATCCCAGGGATGAAGCCCACTTGATCATGGTGGATAAACTTTTTGATGTGCTGCTGGATTCGGTTTGCCAGTATTTTATTGAGGATTGTTGCATCGATGTTCATCAAGGATATTGGTCTAAAATTCTCTTTTTTGGTTGTGTCTCTGCCAGGCTTTGGTATCATGATGATGCTGGCCTCATAAAATGAGTTAGGGAGAATTCCCTCTTTTTCTATTGATTGGAATAGTTTCAGAAGGAATGGTATCAGCTCCTTTTTGTACCCTGGTAGAATTTGGCTGTGAATCCATCTGGTCCTGGACTTTTTTGGTTGGTAAGCTATTGATTACTGCCTCAATTTCAGAGCCTGTTATTGGTCTATTCAGAGATTCAACTTCTTCCTGGTTTAGTCTTGGGAGGATGTATGTGTCGAGGAATTTATCCATTTCTTCTAGATTTTCTAGTTTATTTGCATAGAGGTGTTTATAGTATTCTCTGATGGTAGTTTGTATTTCTGTGGGATTGGTGGTGATATCCCCTTTATCATTTTTTATTGTGTCTATTTGATTCTTCTCTCTTTTCTTCTTTATTAGTCTTGCTAGCGGTCTATCAATTTTGTTGATCTTTTCAAAAAACCAGCTCCTGGATTCATTAATTTTTGAAGGGTTTTTTGTGTCTCTATTTCCTTCAGTTCTGCTCTGATCTTAGTTATTTCTTGCCTTCTGCTAGCTTTTGAATGTGTTTGCTCTTGCTTTTCTAGTTCTTTTAATTGTGATGTTAGGGTGTCAATTTTAGATCTTTCCTGCTTTCTCTTGTGGGCATTCAGTGCTATAAAATTCTTTATTCAGCAGCGTGAAAATGGACTAATACACCAACCTACCACCTATCCTCCATTGACCAACTGCTTTTCCTCATCCAGGATTAATTCCTGTTTTCCTGAATGCAACTAACTTTCTTCCCAGCTATATAAACTCTTGACTTTAGTCAGGGAGGAGAGTCAGATTTGAGGTTTGTTTCTTCTCTCTCAGGCTGACATCACTCATAATTGAATCAAGCCATCTCTGACAATATTTGTTGTTTCAGTGACTGGCTTACCATGCAGCAAGCAAAATGACCTACATCAAACTCCTGGCATTTTGGTAACAATAGTAAGTCCTCAATAAGTATTAACTATGACTAACAGTTTAAATATATGCCAAAAGTAGAAAGAAGCTCTCTTCTCGTATTGTTCACTTGTAAATTAATCATTTTCTATCCTGGAATACTTTAATTTCTTCTCACTTTAGTAAATCTCAGAGGATGGGCGTGTTGGCTCACACCTGTAATTCCAGCACTTTGGAAGGCCAAGGTGGGCATATCGCTTGAGGTCAGGAGTTTGAGACCAACCTGGCCAACATGGTGAAACCCCATCCCTACTAAAAGTAGAAAAATTAGCTAGGCATGGTGGCACGTGCCTGTAATCCCAGTTACTCTGGAGGCTGTGGCAGGAGAATTGCTTGAACCTTGGAGGCAGACGTTGCAGTGAGCCGAGATTGAGCCACTGCACTCCAGCCTCGGTGTCAGAGCGAGACTCTATCTCAAAAAATAAATAAAATAAAGTCTTAGATAACATGTGGATATAAATCTGGAGATTAAATATGTGGTGAAACTAAGTTATTATGTTAACATAGTGATAAGTTGCAGGAGATAAAATCAATGTATCCTAATTCTATTTACTCATGTTACTTTTCTAAATCATACAATGAAGTTACTACATTATTATAATGGAAAGAGCATAGTATTAAAGTATTAGAAATCTGACATAAACAAATTTATCCGTTGTTAGCCTTTATTCCAAAAAAGTTGTGCTAAATTTTGCTTACTGATTTTTGCTTAGAATGATATCGCATCAAAAGGGAGCATTTAAAAAATGAGATAAAATATTAATCTATGTATACTAAAAAACTGGAAGAAAAAAGTAATCATATTTTATGATATCAATAGCTTAATCAGAGAAAATATCTACTAGAAAAACACATTTTTAACAATTTTAAATATTCTTGGAAATCAGGAACTTTTCTAAACTTTCTAAGAAATTGTTATTATATTTACACAGGAGTTACCTATCAGTAAAAATAATCTTTAGACATATAGCAGTGCACTATACATCTGTACTTGCAATGGTATAATAAACTTTTAAAATAATTTATATTATAAATAATATTCATATTAATTATTTAAATATACATTTACATTTAAAATGCAGTTTTGTCAAATAAATAAAATTTAAGCAAAAAAAAAAGATGTAACCCAAAGCAATTAAGAGACCTTAAGATGATAGATACATTATTAAACTAATTTGTCTCCATCATTAAGGCAAATTGATTACACATAAATAAGAAATACAATTTTAGACCAATATCCTTGATGAACATTGATGCAAAATCCTTAATAAAATACTGGCAAACCGAATCCAGCAGCACATCAAAAAGCTTGTCCACTATGATCAAGTGGGCTTCTTCCCTGGGATGCAAGGCTGGTTCAATATACACAAATCAATAAATGTAATCCAGCATATAAACAGAACCAAAGACAAAAATCACGTGATTATCTCAATAGATGCAGAAAAGGCCTTTGACAAAATTCAACAACCTTCATGCTAAAAACTCTCAATAAATTAGGTGTTGATGGGACGTATCTCAAAATAATAAGAGCTATCTATGACAAACCCACAGCCAATATCATACAGAATGGGCAAAAACTGGAAGCATTCCCTTTGAAAACTGCCACAAGAGAGGGATGCCCTCTCTCACCACTCCTATTCAACACAGTGTTGGAAGTTCTGGCCAGGGCAATTAGGCAGGAGAAGGAAATAAAGGGTATTCAATTAGGAAAAGAGGAAGTCAAATTGTCCCTGTTTGCAGATGACATTATTGTATATCTAGAAAACCCCATTGTCTCAGCCCAAAATCTCCTCAAGCTGATAAGCAACTTCAGCAAAATCTCAGGATACAAAATCAATGTACAAAAATCACAAACATTCTTATACACCAATAATAGACAAACAGAGAGCCAAATCATGAGTGAACACCCATTCACAATTGCTTCAAAGAGAGTAAAATACCTAGGAATCCAACTTACAAGGGACGTGAAGGACCTCTTCAAGGAGAACTACAAACTGCTGCTCAAGGAAATAAAAGAGGATACAAACAAATGTTAGAACATTCCATGCTCATGGGAAGGAAGAATCAATACTGTGAAAATGGCCACATTGCCCAAGGTAATTTATAGATTCAATGCCATCCCCATCAAGGTACCAATGACTTTCTTCACAGAATTGGAAAAAACTACTTTAAAGTTCATATGGAACCAAAAAAGAGCCCGCATTGCCAAGTCAATCCTAAGCCAAAAGAACAAAGCTGGAGGCATCACGCTACCTAACTTCAAACTATACTACAAGGCCACAGTAACCAAAACAGCATGGTACTGGTATCAAAACAGAGATATAGATCAATGGAACAGAACAGAGCCCTCAGAAATAATGCCGCATATCTACAACTATGTGATCTTTGACAAACATGAGAAAAACAAGCAATGGGGAAAGGATTCCCTATTTAATAAATGGTGCTGGGAAAACTGGCTAGCCATACGTAGAAAGCCGAAACTGGATCCCTTCCTTACACCTTATAAAAAATTAATTCAAGATGGATTAAAGACTTACATGTTAGACCTAAAACCATAAAAACCCTAGAGGAAAACCTAGGCATTCCCATTCAGGACATAGGCATGGGCAAGGACTTCACATCTAAAACATCAAAAGCAATGGCAACAAAAGCCAAAATTGACAAGTGGGGTCTAATTAAACTAAAGAGCTTCTACACAGCAAAAGAGACTACCATCAGAGTGAACAGGCAACTTACAAAATGGGAGAAAATTTTCACAACCTACTCATCTGACAAAGGGCTAATATCCAGAATCTACAATGAACTCAAACAAATTTACAAGAAAAAAACAAACAACCCCATCAAAAAGTGGGCGAAGGACATGAACAGACACTTCTCAAAAGAAGACATTTATGCAGCCAAAAAACACATGAAAAAATGCTCACCATCACTGGCCATCAGAGAAATGCAAATCAAAACCACAATGAGATACCATCTCACACCAGTTAGAATGGCAACCATTAAAAAGTCAGGAAACAACAGGTGCTGGAGAGGATGTGGAGAAATAGGAAGACTTTTACACTGTTGGTGGGACTGTAAACTAGTTCAACCATTGTGGAAGTCAGTGTGGCCATTCCTCAGGGATCTAGAACTAGAAATACCATTTGACACAGCCATCCCATTACTGGGTATATACCCAAAGGTCTATAAATCATGCTGCTATAAAGACACATGCACATGTATGTTTATAGCGGCACTATTCACAATAGCAAAGACTTGGAACCAACCCAAATGTCCATCAATGATAGACTGGATTAAGAAAATGTGGCACATATCCACCATGGTATACTATGCAGCCATAAAAAATGATGAGTTCATGTCCTTTGTAGGGACATGGATGAAATTGGAAATCATCATTCTCAGTAAACTATCGCAAGAACAAAAAACCAAACACCGCATATTCTAACTCATAGGTGGAAACTGAACAATGAGAACACATGGACACAGGAAGGGGAACATCACACTCTGGGGACTGTTGTGGGGTGGGGGGACGGGGGAGGGATAGCATTAGGAGATATACCTAATGCTAAATGACGAGTTAATGGGTGCAGCCCACCAGCATGGCACATGTATACATACGTAACTAACCTGCACATTGTGCACATGTACCCTAAAACTTAAAGTATAATAATAATAATAAAAATGAAATACATAGCAGTAAATATAAGATAAAACTTTTTCAAGTTAAATTTCCAAATGTTCTCAAAGATTTATCAAAGAGAGATGAAATTAAATTATTACAGGTAAGGAATTATTATTTTATATAACCAACAACATGAGAAAAAAGTTTTTCTCCCGTTTTGATTTCACTGCAGATTTGAACCCATAATTGACATTGTGAACTAACCATTTTCACTCAGAGGATAAATGGGTGAATAACTATCAACCTGAGGATTTTTTTTCTCAGGTCTCTTGCATGTTTTTCAGGAGAGCTGATAACAATATTAGCCTAACACTCTTGCATAGGAAATAATATAATGAAAATAAGCTATTTAGCTGCCATATTAATATTTATAAAAAATACATATATCAACTATCAGTGAGCTTTATTTTATTACTAAGAGTCTAAGTGGTAACCCAATTCTACCAACAAAATATGTATCTATGTTAGTGCTCATTTATTAAGTAATTATGCAGGCATTCATTCATATATATTGCTTTTAAACCTCTCCAACAATGGTTACATACTAATTATTTCTTCTTTACTAAGCTATTCTTTTTTAAATTTTAAATAATAAAAACCTGGATCATAAATGAAATATTAAATTCTTGACAGCAAATAGCAAATCTTGACAGTTTAAATTTCCTTCTATAATATTTCAGTAAAATTGACAAAAAAAGGAATCAGTTAATATTTTGCTACAGAAAACAAATTTATCACTAGAAATATACTGACACATTTTTATATTATATATAATCCAACCAGATAATGTAATTCATAATTTTTCCTCTCTCAAATTGATGTTTTATTTGGTTTATGACTTCTATGTATTTGAAATTCAGCTGGAATTGACATAAAATTGATAAATATATAAGCATTTATAATAATGTATATCTTCTTACACAAGATCAGGCTGCTTGCTAAATCCTATGGACTATGTTAGAAGATATGGTGTTGAGAAACCAAAGTAATTTTCTGATCTTCTTTTTCTTTTTTAGTTACTGTTACAGACAGAACAAAAGCAGGAAAATAAAAAAAAAAGTCTGGAGATTTTATTGTGTGAACATGGGTTGAAATAGAGGCAATAATAAAAGTAATTTATTTTAAGTAGGATTGTTAGATAAAGGCTATCTGAGACGTAAACATAAAGCTGGAACCTAATTAGAGTTAAACATGTTACACAGAACGTATTAGTACATTTTCACACTGCTGATAACCACATACCCGACACTGGGTAATTTATAAAGAAAAAATAGGTTTAATGGACTCACTGTTCCAAGTGGCTGGGGAGGCCTCATAATCATGGTGGAAGGCAAAAGGCACATCTTACATGGTGGCAGGCAAGACAGAATGTGAACCTTGTGCAGGGAAATTCCCCTTTATGAAACCATCAGATACCATGAGACTTATTCACTACCATGAGAACAGCACAGGAAAGACCTACACCCATGGTTCAATTACCTTCCAATGAGTGCCTCTTATGACACATGGGAATTACGGGGGCTACAATTCAAGATGAGATTTGGGTGGGAACACAGCCAAACCATATCACAGAAGGAGAAAAAATAATTCCAGCTGGAAGAAAGAACATGTGCAGAGAGATTGACATAGGAATGAGGATGACTGTTGGTTAAACTGAAAAGTGAACATTATAAAAATGTTAATTGTCAAGTCAGAAACTGTGCAAGTATCTGAGGTGTTAGCACCTGCAGACTAATGGGTTAGCCTACCACAATTGTACAGGTACTGTCAAAAGACACAAAATATCTGTGTCAGGATGAAGATACAATTTTATTATTCACAGCTATAGCAGGAGCCAGGGTGACATTTAGTTCCAGTGTAAGCCCCAATTCCCACAGGGCAATGTGAGAAGGTTCAGATGTTACCTATACCCAGAGTGGGAATACTAATATTAGAAACTGAACATTGTATAAGGACTACTGGCAAATTGGTCTATCTCCATCTTCTGGAGAGAGTCTTTCTGTCTATGACTCTGAAATATCATGAAAATCAGCTTTAGGAAGAAAGAGATCTCTATTTCTACTTCAGCTCAAGGCAGCCTGGTATGCAAACATCCTTGAAAATAAAGTATGGGGCCCAGTGCGTGGCTCACGCTTGTAATCTCAGCACTTTGGGAGGCTGAGGCAAGCAGATCACTTGAGGTCATGAGTTCAAGACCAGCCTAGCCAACGTAGTTAAACTCCATCTCTACTAAAATTACAAAAATTAGCTGGGTGTGGTGGTGGGTGCCTGTAATCCCAGTTGCTCAGGTGGCTGAGGCGGGAGATTAGCTTGATCCTGGGAGGCAGAGGTTGCACTGAGCCGAGATTGAGCCATTGCACTCCAGTCTGGGTGACAGAGTGAGACTCTACCTCAAAAACAAAAAAAAAAAGTATGGAGTAAATTAGCTATTAATCTATTAATGTCTTTGAAGGTGTGCAGTAATGAACTTGCACAAAAGGAGAGAAAAATTATAAAATGAAGACAAATTATTCAGAAATTTGTAGTCCATGGTAATCAGTTGAGATTTTCATTTCTGGTTACATTGAGAAGCCATTGGATAAATTTATATTAAAAATTGCATGAAAAATTAAATTTATATTGATAGTAATTTTGCTATTTTGCAGACTCAATTGGAGAATAACAAAAAAGGTGGCAAGAATATTTATTAAAATGCCATTGATTCATGCAAATAAGTAATAATAAGAATCTTTAAATGGTAGTAATACAGATAGAACACAGAGAGTATACTTAAAAATTGAATTTTGATGACAGAGTTGAAATAAATTTGTCATGGATTGTATGCAGGGAATGTTGAAAGAAAAGAAAGGAATGAGAGAGGCCGGGCACGGTGGCTCATGCCTGTAATCTCAGTGCTTAGGGAGACCGAGGCAGGCAGATCACTTGAGGTCAGGAGTTCAAGACCAGCCTGGCTAATATGGTGAAACCTCGTCTCTACTAAAAATACAAAAATTAGCTGGGCATGGTGGTGCGCACCTGTAATCCCTGCTACTCAGGAGGCTGAAGCAGGAGAATCGCTTGAACCCAGGAGGCAGAGGTTGCAGTGAGCTGAGATCATGCCACTGCACTCCAGCCTGGGCAACAGAGCCAGACTTGGTCTCAAAACAAAACTAAACTAAACTAAACTAAACTAAACAAAGTAATGAGAGAAACAAGACAAAATATTATATTTATGCATGAAAAATGGGTGCATAATCCTCCTGTTTGAGGAGGCAACAGAAAATGGAACTTAAGATCACATTTGAGGGAAAATAAATTCTGTGGCAATGTAAATGATGAGACTTTTGTTAAATGCCAATGTGGAGACATCCAAATACAGTTGCATATTTAAATTTAGAGATCTGACAGTGTTATTAGTTTGTGAGTCATCAACCATTAAAATCATATGAAAATCTATGGGAATTGATGACATAAGAGGAAGTGGGGAGGGGAAAGGAGAGCAGGAACAAGATGGAGTTTCTCACAGATAAAAGTGAATAGTGCATAGAAAACAGAGTAAAGAAAAAAAAAAAAAGAAGGATGTTTTCAGAAAAGACCAGAAATAATAGTGCTGAAAAAAAGCAGTATTTACCTTACTATAGCAATTGACCCTGAAGGATAAAATGAGATGAGGACAGAGAAGAGATAAATGTGCTCGGTAATCTTGACAACAGCTGTTTCCATGAAATGATAGTGGCAATTACTTCTAGAAATTTACAGTTAAGAGACCAAGGTAATTTCATAGTACAGAAAAATTGCCATGGTAATATAATGAAAAGAGAAATATATTCCAACTGAAAAGATCTGTTTAGGCTTTCTCTAATGAGTATGTTTCTCAGTTTTATTTCATATTTATATCTGTAATTATATGTATATATAAATATTTATCATAATGGAATAGATTAGAAGGGATACTTCTAATTACAGATTTCTCAGGTATGCTCTGTATTTTGCTCTCCCTGTCGAATGCCTCCCTAAAAATGTTCCATGTCACACCACCTGGGTAATTCAGAACAATGTATAAATAATATCTACATGCTTGTTATTCTGGGAAAACATCTTTGTAATACTATTTCAAGGAATTCTGGAAGTGAATGAAAAGTCTGAAGGTTAGTTAGTAACTGCCCCTGATTAGATTTGGTACAAGATCCATTAAAATATTATTTTGTTAGATGATAAAATAAATATATTCCAGTTTTATATTTCCATGTATATTCTCTTGATAAACTGCAAGATTTTGCAGAACAACAGTATGATTATTTTATCTTTTTATTCCAAATGGCATACACAGTGCCTGTCATAGAATAACCAGTTAGGTAGCTATTTAGAGATGCATGAATGAATGGATGAATGGCCAGCTGAGTCAAGTGCATTTTAGTTGGGCTTGAAAGATTTATATGGGTTTACATGGGACGTATGGAGGTAAAAATAAAGAATGTCCACTGAGAAGAAACAATTTCAGGAAAGGTTTAGAAGTGGAAGACCAGGACATTTTATAAAAAAATGATAGTGGCTGGTAGTAGAAGCATATGAGAAAAAGAAAGTGTAGTTCAACTTAAGCTAGCACAAATTGTAGAAGCCAAATCAACATCTTTTTGTATAAAATAAATTTTATTGCGTTCATATAAAATAAATTAATTTTTAACTATAGACTGAATCCTAAGGACTTTGTCAGAGAGTGTGGTGTTGAGAAATCAAAGTAACTTTCTGCTCTTCTTTACCTATACCCTATATTTGCATATCCTACATTTATTCTACATTTAGGGCATACAAAATTATGTTGTGTAAAATGGTTACTATAAGTAAAGCAAATTAATATATCTATCATCTCATGTTTTTGTTGTTTTCTGGCAAGAACAGCTACAATTTGCTCATTTCGTGTGAATTCCATATTTATTACAGTTTTTATTACCTGTGTGTCTTCACATTGCACATTACATCTCTAGATTTGTTTATTTTACATATCTTCAATTTTTCATTCTCTGACCTACATCTTTCCATTTTGCTCCACAACCCCATCCTACCCTTGATAATTAGGTTTGTTCTCTGTTTACTTGAATTTTTTAAATTCTACATATAAGTGAGATCATGCAATATTTTTCTTTCGGCATCTGGCTCATTTTGCTGAGCATAAGGTCCTCTAGACTCATCCACCTTGTGACAAGTGGTAAGATGGCATTCTTTTTTTAGGGCTGATTAATATTCCATTGTATAAAATATACCACCATTTCTTTATCCTTTCATCTGTTGATGGACACAGGTTGTTTTCACATCTTGGCTATTGTGAATAATGCTGCAATGAATGTGGGAGTGTAGATATCTTCATGAGGTGGTGATTCTATTTCTTTTGGGTATACACCCAGAAAAGGGATTGTTGGTTCATATGGTAGTTCTATGTTTTTAATTTCTTTTTTTTTTTTTTTTTTTTTTTTTTTTGGTACAATGAAATTTTTTTTTTTTTTTTTTATTATACTCTAAGTTTTAGGGTACATGTGCACATTGTGCAGGTTAGTTACATATGTATACATGTGCCATGCTGGTGCACTGCACCCACTAACTCGTCATCTAGCATTAGGTATATCTCCCAATGCTATCCCTCCCCCGTCCCCCGACCCCACCACAGTCCCCAGAGTGTGATATTCCCCTTCCTGTGTCCAAGTGATCTCATTGTTCAATTCCCACCTATGAGTGAGAATATGCAGTATTTGGTTTTTTGTTCTTGTGATAGTTTACTGAGAATGATGGTTTCCAATTTCATCCATGTCCCTACAAAGGACATGAACTCATCATTTTTTATGGCTGCATAGTATTCCATGGTGTATATGTGCCACATTTTCTTAATCCAGTCTATCATTGTTTGACATTTGGGTTGGTTCCAAGTCTTTGCTATTGTGAATAGTGCCGCAATAAACATACGTGTGCATGTGTCTTTATAGCAGCATGATTTATAGTCCTTTGGGTATATACCCAGTAATGGGATGGCTGGGTCAAATGGTATTTCTAGTTCTAGATCCCTGAGGAATCGCCACACTGACTTCCACAATGGTTGAACTAGTTTACAGTCCCACCAACAGTGTAAAAGTGTTCCTATTTCTCCACATCCTCTCCAGCACCTGTTGGTTCCTGACTTTTTAATGATTGCCATTCTAACTGGTGTGAGATGATATTTCATAGTGGTTTTGATTTGCATTTCTCTGATGGCCAGTGATGATGAGCATTTCTTCATGTGTTTTTTGGCTGCATAAATGTCTTCTTTTGAGAAGTGTCTGTTCATGTCCTTCGCCCACTTTTTGATGGGGTTGTTTGTTTTTTTCTTGTAAATTTGTTTGAGTTCATTGTAGATTCTGGATATTAGCCCTTTGTCAGATGAGTAGGTTGCGAAAATTTTCTCCCATGTTGTAGGTTGCCTGTTCACTCTGATGGTAGTTTCTTTTGCTGTGCAGAAGCTCTTTAGTTTAATTAGATCCCATTTGTCAATTTTGGCTTTTGTTGCCATTGCTTTTGGTGTTTCATATGGAACCAAAAAAGAGCCCGCATCGCCAAGTCAATCCTAAGCCAAAAGAACAAAGCTGGAGGCATCACACTACCTGACTTCAAACTATACTACAAGGCTACAGTAACCAAAACAGCATGGTACTGGTACCAAAACAGAGATATAGATCAATGGAACAGAACAGAGCCCTCAGAAATAATGCCACATATCTACAACTATCTGATCTTTGACAAACATGAGAAAAACAAGCAATGGGGAAAGGATTCCCTATTTAATAAATGGTGCTGGGAAAACTGGCTAGCCATATGTAGAAAGCTGAAACTGGATCCCTTCCTTACACCTTATACAAAAATTAATTCAAGATGGATTAAAGATTTAAACGTTAGACCTAAAACCATAAAAACCCTAGAAGAAAACCTAGGCATTACCATTCAGGACATAGGCGTGGGCAAGGACTTCATGTTTTTAATTTCTTTAGAAACCTCCTTATAGTTTTCCATAATGACTATACCAATCTATATTCCCACAAACAGATACAAGATCTCTCTTTTTGCCACAAAAATCAACCTTTTTAGGCAATGGAATGGACTGAACAGATTTAAAAAATCAACCTTTTTAGGCAATGGAATGGACTGAACAGATTTAATTTTTAAGAGGACAGTTTAGGCAGTAGTTGGGAAATCTATAGGGGCCACATTCAGATATATGTGCAGTGACTAGAGATGTAACATTAGAAGAGTGATGAATACTACATATTTGAAAAAAATAGTATGCTTTGGTTTAGACAGTGAAATATTATAGCTCAACTAGAACATTCATGTAATTTCCATCAGCAATTGTAAAATATAAAAAGAACTTTGAGAAAAATATTGTGAATAATTAATTAACATGGTCATATATAATTTTTCCTAGTACTGCTAAGCATTCTTGAAATAGGTGCACATTAAAAACTTAAATATTAATTTATTTAGTTGAAAATAGTTTAAACCAACTATGAAGTGTCAGTCGCTACCATAGGGAGTGGAGCTGTAAATATTAGTTGAGATGTGAATAAGTAAAAGTTAATGAGGAACGTGTTAATAAGGAGCTTGAAGACTTTAAGCTTAAAAACCACCTCCCACCACACACACAAACACACACACACACACAAACATACACCCTGACACACACAAACAAATAATATACCTATTTACAATCTTACATCTTTGAGAATTTCATAGAATAATTCCATTTATAGAGCTATCTACAATTATAAAAATGAAATACACAAAGAAATAATGAGATAAAAATTATTAAAAGAGAAAGAAACATAAGAATGAAATAACTGAGATGTGTACTGTTTACAAAGTTGAAATTTGTGACAAGGTGACCACTTTCTTACCAATTTTTTTTCCAATCTTCGGGGGCAAGAGCCAGCCAACAGTAACATTATCTTTTTCATGTGATTTTGAATAGATACAAAATTGTATGCTTTTCTGAAAAAACTGTGCCTGAGAAACTTCCTGGGCTTGAGTATTTTTATTGGCCTTTGCACATGAAACAGATCAACAAATTGTTACCATCATTAGATGAGAGTTGCTCTTTAATCACATTGTGATTAAAAGCATATCTGAATGTCATTTAAAATGTCATGAGCATAACATGCTTTTTTAAGGGGCCAAAGAACATTTTACTTTTAAAATAAATCAATCTTTTATATGCTTATTTTTAATAAAGCTAAAACCATTATAATTAATATAACCATACTAGTAGAACTGAGGTAGAAAAAAAAACCAAAACTTTGACTTATGTCTAATGTTTTGAGACTAGTATTGTATATTTGCTTTCTGAACTGATAATGGTGTATTTCAATTAACCTTTTCCATGTGATATGTGTTGATACAACAGTTTATTGTTGCCATCTGTTTTACTTGCAGGATCTAATTCAATGGTGATTTACTATTTAATGGAAGAAATTTGAATACACTGGGGAATACTTAATTTCCTTATTCTAATACATAAAATATTTTCAGGAGATTGTATGTTTGCATTATCTTTGTTAGGTGCATCATTGTTTGAGGGAGCAATTTCGACATATGTATTGAATACATATTTTAAATACGAAAAGATAAAATTCTGCTTAAAGTCAATTAAATTGCTACTTGTGAAATTAGTTTGAAAATAATTTGCAAATTTTTTAATGAAATAATCCTCTAGTTGAAGCACAGTATCCTGTAATAATGGGATATATGTGTGCACACAGGTGCATGCACACGCCACTGTGTGTGTGTATGTGTGTGTGTGTGTGTGTGTGTAGGGGAATCTTAGTCTAAAGCATCCCACTGCAAACTAAAAGCTCTTTAAAGTATATTAATGTCACAAAAAGTTAAGGCATTTTTCCATTCTTGTTAGCATGTTTCTTTTACCATTTTTCTCATTTCAAATTACTTGGACTTTAAACGTTCCCTGAAACTTAAATATACTGAGGTTCTGGGAAGAGCTAACATGCCAACATTTCTATTTTGATACACATATCTTTCTGGCAAGCTGCTGAGTACCTCCAGTTAAGAAGCACAGGCCTAAACTCTCAGTGTACAGCATTGATAAAATATATCTCGAGTCTAGTGCTCAGAACAATTTCTAGTATATATTACATTTGAGATAAATGTTAGTTTTTTGTTGGTGGATATTATTTCATTAAGATTCCCATCTATTATTCTAGAGAAAACTAGATAATAAAGATTATTTTTGGCATAGTGCTTATGAGAAATCTAATAAGTATCTTGTCACTCACTCTCATTTTAGGGAAAGGCTGACCTCTAGCATCTTACCATTCCAACCCTCTCACTTCCCTTTCCCAGTACAGGTTGCATCTTCCCTGCTGCTGAGTTTTTCACAAGTCACAAGTGCTGCTTTCTTTTAGCCATCTAGAGTTAAGCAAGAACTTTATTCATTAATCCTTTATTGGTTTTAATAGCATTTCAAGTGTTGGAGTAGTTATTAAAGGATATGCAAATTTCTTAGTAACTCTCAAATTGTACTATTCATTTTCTATATATCTATATTTAAAATTTTTAATTTCATTATCCCTCCAAATATATTTTCCTGATGTAGTAACCATCTGCAACTGAGACTGCTTTCTACATGTACAACATGATAATTTTAAGCAGGAAAAGGTTCAGATAATAAGTAAATAACACTTCAAATTAATTAAATAAAAATTACTAGATGATATTAGTAAATATTGTATCTGGTAATCCTATGCCAAAAAAAACACTGTTAAAGTGTCCTCAGTTTTTTGAAAATGCACATATTTAAACTCTTATTTGATTACCCAATTTTGGTAAGAGTAGTCCAAATACAATCCAATAAATTCTTCATTTTTCTTTTCCTCCTCATTTAGTTTCAATTTCCTTTTACTTTCACCCTCATTTGTTTATCTTTTCTGTCTGATGTGGATTAATTTAACTGCTAGAGTGCATAGGAGATTTTATAGAAATATTGACAATAATCACACTGTTAAGTGTTCTCATTCTTTAATCCTGAACTACCAGACATCTTTTTTGGTAATTGTCTCCCTAGCCTACTTTTATTCAATAAATATTTTTATATGAAGAAAAAGTTATTATCCTAGAAAAGGATGGAAATATATCCTTATCTAAAGAAAATAGGATGTTCTAAATTTTAGGGTAACATTCAGTTAGACTGCAGCTTTTTTCTTAAATCGTGTACATGTAGCTAGGATAAATTTATTTATAAATGTATTTATTTTCTCCAAAGTCTACATTCATACACACTAGGAGCCAACAATAATGTAATGTAATTTTTCACTCTCCAGTGACAAACAATACTATACCTCTTTTTAAATATTCTATTACAAATATGTTCATAATTTGTGTCCCTACAAAATGATTTTGGGAAGCAATAAACTAAAAATTGAAAACAAATTTTGCAATATTTTAAACATCAAATTCACATAATTAAGCATACAGAAAACAGACGCACATAATCTCACAGAAAAATAAAACACTATTGATTACCCTTGGTTTTCTGAAATTTTGAATCAGAAAATCTCAAATTATGACCCATTGTTACGTGATCTTTGAAAAAAATTACAAAGTATTGACCAGAGGTAATAGTCTATTTAAAAAGGTGGATTTCAGGGCTTATGGTAAAAAGATCATCTGTGTTATAGTTTCTTTACAGTTGTTCATTACCTCTCCAACTTCAGTGACTTTAGTCATGAGATAGTAACAATAATATTTACTTCAAGGGATTTTTAAGATTACATGAGAAGAAAATAGCAAATAAAATGTAACTGTAGGCATCCAAATTGGTAAGGAAAAAGTCAAATTATCCAGGTTTACAGATGATACAATTTTATATTTGGAAAAACCTAAGACTACACACACACAAAAATCTATTAGAGCTGATAAACAAATTCATTAAAGTTGTAGGGCATAAAATCAACAAAGAAAAATCAGTATCATTTCTATATGCCAACAGTGAACAATCTGAAAAAGAAATGAAGAAGTAATTGTATTTACAATAGTCATGAATGCAATTAAATACTAAGGAATTAACATAATGAAAGATGTAACAGGTCTCTATTAAAAAAAAACTATGAAACACTGATGAGAGTAATTGAAGAGGACATCAAAAAGTACAAAGATATTCCATATTCATGGATTGGAAGAATCAATATTGTTAAAATGTCTATACTGCCCAAAACAATCTACAGATTAAGTGCAATTTCTTTCAAAATAGCAATCACATTCTTCACAGAAATAGAAAAAAAAATTTCTAAAAGTTACATGGAACCATAAAAGACACAGAATAGCCAATGCTATCCTAAGTAAAAAAAAAAAAAAAAAAACCATAGGAATCACATGACCTCACTTCAAATTACAAAACAGTGCTACAATAACTACAAAAACATGATACTAGCATAAAAACAGACACACAGACCAATGGAACAGAAGAAAGATCCCAGAAACAAATCCATACACCTATATGAACTCATTTTTGACAAAGGTGCCAAGAACGCACACTGGGGAAATAAATACATTCTATTCAATAAATTGTGCTCAGAAAACTGAATATCCATATGCAGAAGAATGAAACTAGGCCCTTATCTCTTGCCATATACAAAAATCAAAGTAAAAATGAATTAAAGACTTAAATTTAAGACCCTAAACTATGAAAACAAAACATTGGGGAAAAATATCCAGGACATTGATTTACACAAAGATTTCTTGAGTAAGACCCAACAAGCACAGTTAACCAAAGCAAAAATGAACAAATGAGTTAAAAAGTAAAAACCTTCTGCATAGAAAAGGAAACAGTCAACAAAATGAAGAGACAATCCACAGAATGCAAGAAAATATTTATAAACTACCCATCTGCCAAGGAAATAATAATTAGAATATATAAGGAGCTCAAACAACTCTGTAAGAAAAAAAATCTAATAATCTCATCAAAAATGGGCAAAAGATCTGAATAGACATTTTTCAAAATAATACATACAAATGGCAAACAGGCATATGAAAAGGTGTTTAACGTCATTGATCAGCAGAGATAAGAAAATCAAAACTACAATGAGATATCATCTCTCCCAAGTTAAAATGGCTTATGTATTACACAACAGACAGGCAATAACAAATGCTAGCAAGGATGTGGAGAAAAGGGAACCCTCATACACTGTTGGTGGGAATATAAATTATTATTTCCACATGGAGAACAGTTTGAAAGTTCCTCAAAAAAACTACAAATAGCTCTACCATATGATCCAGCAATCCCACTGCTGGGTATATACCCCAAAGAAAGGAAATCAGTATATTGAAGAGATATCTGCACTCCAATGTTTACTGCAGCACTGTTCACAATAGCCAAGATTTGGAAGCAACCTAAGTGTCCATTAACAGATAAATGGATAAAGAAAGTGTAATATATATATACATACACAATGGGTTACTATTCAGCCATGAAAAAGAATGAGATCCAGTCATCTGCAACAACACTGATGGAACTAGAGATCATTATGTTAAGTGAAATAAGGCAGGCATGGAAAGACAACATAACATGTTCTTATTTATCTGTGAGATTTAAAAATCAAAACAATTGAATTCATTGTCATAAACCATAGAATGGTTACCAGAGGCTGGGAGGGGAAGTAGAGGGTTGAGGGCAGGTGGGAATGGTTAAGGGTACAAAAAAAAAGTTAGAAAGAATGAATAAGACCTACTATTTAATAGCACAATATGGTCACTATCGTCAAAAATAACTGCACATTTTAAAATAACTAAAAGAGTATTAACTGGATTGTTTGTAACACAAAGGATAAATGCTTAAGGGGATAAATATAACCCATTCTTCATGATATGATTTTTTACACATTCCATGCCTGTATTAAAACATCTCATGTTCCTTATAAATATGTATATCTACTAAGTACCCACAAAAATTAACAATATTTTTAAAAACTGTAAGTATAATTGTGCATAAAATAGCCACTAATTCACATATAATGCAATTTAGTCAATTATCTTTGATTTATAAAAGAATGTTACAAATTGTTCTAGAACCTGAATGCTTAATTATCATGGTGATGTATACTCAGTGGAATTAGTCTGTAGAATCTAATATTATGACTAGTGAAATTAAGTTGAGAAAATGTGCAGACATTGGAGCAAATTTGAACTTATTGCTAATGCTGACATTTTAGTGTGCCACGCTTTCATGAAAATGAGTTATAATCCAACAACTCTGAAAAAATACAAAGTAAAAAAAATAACAAACAAAAGTAGAAGTTAAAGGAAAAGTACCAAGAGAAAAAAATAAAAAGAGGTAAGAATTTTAAGAAGGAATGGCAAGGCAAGATTCTCCTGTTTTATTGGATTTAATAGGAAATAAAGTCTACACTAAGCAGGTGAACTAAAATTTTGAATGAAATCTCACAGTTTTTCTGGACCAATTTACTACTGGAAATAAATCAGGACAACAACAACTACGGGAAATGAGTTGGGGGCCAGAGAGATGAGAAAGACAGAGAGATGAATCACCACATTATGAGCATAAACCATGTCCTCATCCCTGACTAAACCTTGAAAAATGCATTCCTTGGAATGACTGAAAATAACCTAGTTACACATTTAATCATTTAACAGATTTGTGCTGTCATTGAAGAGACTGAGTTTCTAATATCAGTATAGTCAAGTTAGTTGCCTGATAAAAAAGGAAATTAAACACTCTTCAAAGAAAAGTGACAAAATTCAGTTTCCACAACGTCGTCACAAAGCCTCCATATGCATCATAAATAGAATGAATTAAAAACTGTGGTATAACTGCAAATAGAATACTACTAAGAAATAAAAATTAATGATTTACTTTAATTTACACCAAATTAATGAACCTCAAAAATATAATGTTAAGTGAAAGATGTCTTACATAAAATAACACCTTTATAATTCAGCTTTTAGAAAATTATAAAAAAGAGTAATCCATGGTAGAAAAAATGGAACAATGATTGCATCTGGGAAGAGGGATTGCTGAAAAAATAAAATAAAATAACTCTCTTGAGTTGCTGTAGTACTATGTATCTTGACAGTGGGTTATGAGGATGTAAGGATTTTTGAAAATGCAGACAATGTACAGGTAAGATTTTTATATTTCATTTTATGCAAACATCACATCTGAAAGACTACAGAAGGAGGCAGAGCAATATGACTGAGTAGAACCCTCCATCGATTGCCCTTTCCCAACCCACTGCATGAATACCAAATTGAACAACTATCCACATGAGACAACACCTTCATAAGAACCAAAAAAATAGGTGAGTGATCATAGCACCTGGTTTTAACATCATATCAAGAAAAAAAAGACAATGAAGAGGGTAAGAAAGACAGTCTTGAATTGCCTACACCACCTTTCCCCAATCCCCTGGCAGCTGTTGCATGGCACAGAGAGAGAATGTGTGTTTTAGAGAGGGAAGGTGCAGTGATTGTGGGACTTTGCATTAGTGCTCATTGTTGACCTGTCAAAGTGGAAAGCAACACAAGGCAGTACTCAGCCAGTGCCCACAAAGGGAGAATTTAGGCCATCCCAACCAGAGGGAAATTGCCCATCCAGCAGCCCAGAACTGAGTTCCAACTAGCCCCACTACCATGGGCTAAAGTGCTCTTGGGTTCTAAACAAACTTGGAAGGCAGTCTAGGCCACAAAGACTGCAATTCCTCAGCATGTTCTTATGCTGTGCTGGGCTCAGAGCCAGTGGACTTGGGATGTAAATGACCTGGTCAGACTGAGTTGGGGTGACCAAGGGAGTCCTTTTATCACCTCTCCTCCAATTCCAGACAGCACAGCTAACAGCTTCTGGAGGAAGGGGAAGAGTAAGAAGACCTTTATACTGCAATTGGATGCCAATTTAGCCACAGTAAAATAAAGCACCAAGCAGGGTCCTGAAGCCTCCTTTCCAATCCATAATGCTTGAATGAAATATATAGACCCACCCTGGGCTAGAAGGAAACGGAAAAGAAAGAGCCAATCCTGGCAGAACTTACCACCTGCTGATGAAAAAGCCCTTGAACCTTGAATAAATATCAATGATAATCAGGCAGGAGTCACCACAGGCCTTGGGCAAGACCCAGTATTGTGCTGGCTTCAGGCATGATCCAGCACATTCCCAGCTGTGGTGGACACAAGCAACCTACAGAATGGGAGAAAATTTTTGCAATCTATCCATCTGCCAAAGGTCTAATATCCAGAATCTACAAGGAACTTAAACAAATTTACAAGAAAAAAACAAACAACCCCATCCAAAAGTGGGCAAATGATAGGAAAAGGAACTTCTCAGAAGAAAATATTCATATGGCCAGCAAACATATGAAAAAAAGCTCAAGATCACAGATTATTAGAGAAATGGAAATCAAAACCACAATGAGATACCATCTCGTGCCAGTCAGAATGGCAATTATTAAAAAGTCAAGAAATTGTAGATGCTGGCGAACCTGTGAAGAAATAGGAATGCTTTTACACTGTTGGTGAGAACCTAAGTTAGTTCAACCATTGTGGAAGACAGTTCGGCTATTCCTCAAGGATCAAGGACCAGAAATATCATTTGACCCAGCAAAACCATTACTGGGATTTAGATTTATATACCCAAAAGAATAGAAATCATTCTACTATGAAG
This sequence comes from Homo sapiens, assembly GCF_000001405.40. Lineage (NCBI taxonomy): Eukaryota > Metazoa > Chordata > Mammalia > Primates > Hominidae > Homo > Homo sapiens. Next base: position 119,666,918 of record NC_000007.14, read on the forward strand.
ACACATCCACACGTGTATTTATTGCAGCACCGTTTACAATAGCAAAGATATGGAACTAACCCAAATGCTGATTGATGACAGACTTGATAAAGAAAACGTGGTACATATACACCATTGAATACTATGAAGCCATAAAAAGGAGTGAGATCATGCCCTTTGCGGGGACATGGATGAATCTGGAGCCATCATCTTCAGCAACTAACACAGGAAAAGAAAACCAAACACCACATATTCTCATTAATAATTGGGTGTTGAACAGTGAGAACACATGGACACAGGGAGGGGAACAACACACACTGGGGCCTGTTTGCGGGGAGGGGGTGAGGGGAGGAAACCTAGATGATGGGTCAGTACGTGCAGCAAACCATCATGGCACACGTATACCTACGTAACAAACCTGCACGTTCTGCATATGTATTCTGGAACTTAAAGTAAAATTAAAAAAAAAAAAAAGAAAGAAAAAATAAGGAAGCACAGCTACAAGATTTGAAAAATAACCTTTTTTTTCAAACAAGGGCAAATCTAACATTTATTGGTTTCAAAGGGAAGGTAGAGAGAAAGATCAGAGTAAGAGAGTTTATTCAAAGAGACAATAACAGGGAAATTTTCAAATCTAGAGAAAGATATAAATATTCAAGTAAAAGAAGGTTATAATACAGATTTAATACAAATAGCACCATGTCCAGACATTTAAAGCTCAAACTCCCAAATGTCAAGGATACAAAAAATGTCCTAAAAACAGGAAGAGTAAAGAAAAGAAAAATAAAGGAGTTTCAGTACGTCTGGCAGCTGACTTTTTCAGTGGTAACCTTACAGGTCAGAAGATAAACTTACATGATATATTTAAAGAGTTGAAGGAAAAAACAAAACAGAAAAAAAAAAACCCTTTTATCCTGGAATATTATATCCAGTGAAAGCCTCCAAACATGAAAGATAATTAAAGACTTTCGCATAGAAACAAAAGCAAAAGTAATTATCTACATCGGACCCATCATATAAAAAATGCTATAGGGACTTATTCAACCTGAAAGAAAAGGATGTTAATGAACAGTATCATCAGGAGGTACAGAATTCAGTGGTAACAGCAAGTACACAGACAAATACAGAATATTATAAGGCAATAATGGTGGTGTGTAAACTGCTAATATCTTGAGTAGGAAAAATAAAATTTAACCTATCTAAAATAATAACAACAGCAAGCATTTAAGACATAGATGGTATAGTAAGACATAAATAGAAACAAAAAAATTAAAAAGTGAGGAGATGATGTTAAAGTGTAAAGTTCTATTAGCTATCTCTTTGCTTTTTTGTTTGTTTTTGCAATCTATGTTGTCATCAGTTTAAAATAACAGGTTATAAGATATTTGCAAGCTTCAGAGTAACCTCAAATCAGAAAAACATACAACTGATACACAAAAACATGAAGCAATAAATGTTAAAATACCACCAGAGAAAAGCACTTTCAGAGAAAGGAAGAAAGAAAGGAAGAAAAAAGAAACAACAAAACAAACAGGAAATAACAAAATGTCAGGAGTAAGTACTTACTTAGCAATAATAGCATTGAATTTAAATAAACTAAACTCAGTAATCAAAAGACATACAGTGGCTGAATGGATAAAAATCAAGTTCCAATGATCTGCTACCTACAAAAAACATGCTTCACCTATAAACACACACAGAGATGGAAAATAAAGGGATGGAAAAAGATATTCCATGCAAATAGAAAGCAAAAAACAAAAAAAAAAAAGCAGGAGTAGCTATACTTGTATCAGATAAAATAGATTTCAAGGCAAAAAAATATATAAAAAGAGACAGTCATTATGTAATGATAAAGAGATTAATTCAGGAAGAAGATAGAACAATTCTAATATATATACACAATGCTGATATATACGTACCTACAAACACCCAGATATAGAAAGCAAATATTATTAGAGAGATAGATTTCAATATAACAATAGTTGATGAGTAAACACTCCACTGTCAGCATTAAACAGATCATCCAGACAGAAAATCAACGAAGAAACTTTGGACATAATCTGTAATGCAGACCAAATGGAACTAATAGATATTTGAAGAACATTTTATCCAACAGCTGCAAAATACACATTATTCTCCTCAGCACACAGATAATTCTCAAGGAAAGACCATGTGTTAGGCCTCACAACGAGTCCTAAAAAATTTAAAAAATACTGAAATCACATTTCCTCTGATCAGAGTGGAATAAAACTGGAAATCAATAACAAGAGGAACTATGGAAACCACGCAAATACAGGGAAATTAAACAATATACCCCTAATGACCAGTAGGTCCATGGAAAAAATAAGAAAGAAATTTAAAAATTTATTGAAACAAATGATAATGGAAACACAACTTACCAAAATGTATGGGATATATCAAAAGCAGTAATAATTAATTATATTTTACCTTTTTTATTTCTTCTTGAACCCTCTTTCTTTATGTAGATCTGAGTTTCTGAACAATATGATTTTCTTCTCTCTGACCCATTGTAAACATTTATTGCAAGACAAATCTACTGTCAAATTCCCTCAGTTTTTGTTTTACTAAGAAAGACTTTATTTCTCTATCACTTTTGAAGAATAATCTTACTTGATACAGAATTGTAGGTTGATGGTTGTTTCTTTCAACACTTTAAATATTTCACTCCGCTCTCTTTTTGGTTGCAATGGTTTCTGAAGAAAAATCCAATATAATTCCTACCCTTGTTCTTCTGTAGATAAGGGCATTTTTTTTTTCTCTAGCTTCCTTCAACATTTTTTCCTGTCTTTGATTTTCTGCAGTTTAAATATAATATGCCTAAGTATAGCTTTTTAGTATTTATTCTTCTTGATGTTCTCAGAAACCCCTGAGTTTGTGCTCATATCTGTCATTAATTTTGCAAAATTCTGTTATGATTACTGCAAACATTTCTTATTTTTTCTACCCTATTTTCTTTTTTGTATTTTCTCTATTCTGTTTCTGGTATTTTCATTATACATGTTATGCATTTTGAATTTGTTCCCAGTTCTTTGGTATTCTGTTCTATCTTTTCTCTTCCTTTTTTCTCTTTGGCTTACAGTTTTGGAAGTTTCTTTTTATTTACAATATTCTAGCTCACTGATCTTTTCCTTTTTCATGTGTAGTCTAGTGATGAGCTCATCCAATATATTTTTAATTTCTCCTAACAGTATTTTGATTTCTAGCATTTCATTGTGATTTTTTAGTTTTCATCTCTTTGCTTACAATAACCATGTTGTATATTTTTCTTATTTGATCCCTTAGAATATTTATCTTAGCAGTTTAAATGTCTTATGTGATAATTCCAATTTCTGCCATATCTGAGTCTTTATCTAATGTTACTTTGTCTCTTCAGACTGTGTTGTCTTTGAGCATTCCTGTAATTTTGTTGAAAGCTGGAAGTGATGTATCCAGCAAAGGGGACTGATATAGACAGAACTCTGGTGTGAGATCTTATATTTATTCAGCTAGAAATTAAATTGTTTTTAGTGTTTGCTGTAGTTATGGTGTGTCAGAGGCTAAAATTTCTCCTAGTGTACTTGCTTTTGTCTCCCTCATTGTCAGCTAACTTACCTAGAGACTTTTTATATAGTTAAATAGGGTTTGAGGCTTTAAGGTTTTTAAGTTATAAACCCTACTGTCATACAGGAACCCTACTGATGTGGTGGTAAGGTGTGGGACATTGTGAAACATTATATAATTTTATGATTAGGTACTCAACCTTTTAGTGAGCCAGAGTTGGGTATTTCACATCCCCCAAATCAGTTCGATTCTAGAAAACTTCAACCAGTTTGGCTTTGGCTAAGTAATTTCATTTGAGTTATGCCATGTTAAGGTGAGTGGAAATATCTGTGTTTATTTCACAATGGTTACCTTTTCCTCTCCGGCTGCTTGGAATGCACATTTCGCAGATTTTTACTGTGAGGGCCTGGTTGGACTCCTGAAGGTAAAACTCATGAAACTGTGGCTCCTACCAAGACTGGGCTCCTATGAGATTTTAATTTTCAAGCTAGTCTTCACTGACCCTCCAGCCATTTCTCAATCACAATTTAGTTTCCTTACTTTTGTTGGCTACAGTTGTGGGCTTTAGTCCCCAGGCTTTTGCTCCTGGTAAGTTGTAATTCTCCATATCTACTTGTCTGTTTCTTTGGTTTTCGGGATACAAGTTTGTCTATGATCTTAATTCTCTGATGAATCTAAGAAGAGTTCTTGACTTTTCAGATTCTGCAGGTTTTTCTGGTTTGATAAGATGGACATAGTGACTTTCAAGCTCTTTCTATGTCAGGTGGGAAGGCACTAGGTGCTTTCTTTTAATATTTAAAAAGTCAAAACAAATTATAAAGTCCATGCAATTATTGACCAAAGTAGAACTTCAATTAATATATTTGTAAGATCTGCTTCATTATCTTAGAATTTAATAGACAACTGGGGCATAAACTCTATTAGGACATTATGAAGTGTGTTTATCTTAGGCAATTGATTCCTTTATCATAACTCATCATCTATACAAGTCAAAATTTATAGGAGTGGTTTATGCTTCCTGTCAAAGAAATTTAATGTAATATTAACCAGAATTCAGATTTTAACGTTAACATCAATTTAAATTTTGGAATGATTTAGTGAAGCTACTAAAAGAATTTAGTTCGCTTTAGAGAACATGGGAAGCTCTTGTTGGCTTTAGAAACATTTTTAATAATAAAATTAAAATGTAAATGTCCTGAAGCTCAGGAGATATTGAGATCTTAAGATAAATAAGGAAATAGGTTTTAAATACTGTCATGACACAGGTGATAATGTTTCTTACATCCTACAACTTGCATTTTTGCAAATGCTCCATGGGTCCGATGCCTACAGCAGTAAATTATTTAACTATCAGCTCATAAATGACTGGAAATTAGTTGGAGGTTAATTCTTTGCCTCATTGCCCCCCCGCCTCAAATGGACAAACAGTAATTCATTTTGGTGGCATTCACAAAGTATTTTACCCTATTGAATAATGGAGTAGCACTCCCTGAGACGTCCCCTGGATACCAGATACAATTAAGTGGATATCAATGAGATGTCATTAAGATTTTATGCTTGTGCATATAATCAATCTGTGCCTACCTTTCGCAGTTGTATTGCTTTAGGGGAACTATAAATTCTAGCATTTCAAAATGCTTTATATGTTCGACCAAATATTTTTTACTTAAGTAAAATATCCTGAATAGATCATGCTAAGTTTATTGAAGGCAATAAAGCCAGCATTGAATCCACTAGGGGCATTATGGTAGGCAGAATTTTTACTTCCCTCTCCCTCTCTAAAAGATATCTACTTCCTAATCTCCTAAAACTTACATGGCAAAAGATTTTGAAGGTGTGATTAATTAAATCTTGAAATTGGAAAAATGTCTTGGGTTATACAAATGAGCCCAAATGAGATTTTTGTAGGTAAAGGAGAAAGACAAGAGGGTTGGAGTTTGAGAGAAAGTTGATGATATTATGCTTTTAGCTTTGAAAATAGAAGAAGGGACTATGAGCTAAGGAATTCAAGTGGATTTCTGGAGCTAAAAAAAAAGAAAGATAACTGATTCTCCCCTGGAATCAACAAAAGAAATGAAGCTCTGTTAACAATTTGATTTAGACCAGTAAAACTTACTGTGTACATCTGACCTCCAGAGCTTTATGAGGAATTTGTGTTGCATTAAGCCACTAAATTTGTGGCAATTCGTTACTGAGGCAAAATAAAATACTACACACAGAATTGAAAAATTATGGGATACTCTTGATGATGAGAGCAACATAAAAATGAACAATTGCTGAGTTACTACTGTGTGCTAAGCAGTAAGTCTAATACATTTTATGTACAATTTAACAATCATCAATTATTTATATATAGGTTTGGCGATTATTTCCATATTACAAAGTCAAAATAGAGACCTTGAGAGTCTATATAGCTGGCTCAAACAGATGTAGTAAGACTAAAGCTAGAATTCTAACAAAGGAAGTCAGATAGGGAAGACAGTGTTCCAAGGCACTAAAATACATGATTTTCCTCTATAAAATGTTTTGTTTTTACATAAAGGCTAATATTGAGCTAATATATTCATTGCAGTGCCTCCACCAAAGGCACCTGTAAGGATTAAATCCAACTCCTGTCTTTAGGACTACCAAAATAGTAGAAAAGAAAAATTCAAAACAAATTACAGTCTTCTATTCCTATGATACTAGAGTAGAGATTATGAAAGCTACACATTAAAAAGATACTATGCCTGTCTTCAGGAATTGTATACTATTTGAAAATAAAAACATCTGGAATATTCATATACACTTTTCAGTATTTAATTAAAGTCTGTTCTTGGGTATTAGCCCTTGGGCTAGCATTTCTATATGCAATTTAATAGTTGGGAAGAAGGGATGACATAGTGTTTTGTAAAGTATCCATACAATGAGGGGAATTATTAAATCAAATCTAGGCCCCACCACAGCTCTCAAGCCTAGGAAGTCTATTGAAATATCCCTTAATTTACTTCAATTTTATTTAAATACCCCCCTTCTGAATCGTTCATACAGTGAAGGTTTGTGAATCTGAAACAGGAGAACTATTGGAGCTAAATTTACGTATAAATAATTCAAGACATGGAGTGCTTCAAAGCATCAATTTCTTCACTGAAAAAAAAAGATATAAAAATGTTTACTTTTATGATTAGTATGTTGTTTAAAGGATTTAATGGACATATTACACCTAGGACAATGCCAGAAACTCAAATGTACAAATAAATAATGCTTCTACTATTTTGTAGTTTATATTTTTTAAAGTAGTCATTAGTATAAGCTCCAATTTCATCTCAGTTCATGAAGTTTGTGTAATATAATTTAGGTCATTTTTCTGTAAGTGTCACCAACTAAGTTTGCCTGATTAAATCCTGTGCTCCTTTCTCTTTTAAAAATTGTTTGTTTTTCCTTTGTTCTCTTCTCTGAACTGTGTTTGACAAAGTTGAGCACAGTCCTTAGAGGCTGGATACAGCTACTAATAGGTCTAAGAGCTGGAGTGTAATTGTTCCTCAATTCTATAGCTTTACTAGGAGACTATTATGGTTTTCTTCAAGCTATCCCAGAGCTGACTGTTTAAATAATGAAATTGTTTCAAAATAGATTTTTACTGACAATTTTCCCCTCAGTAATTAGGCCTGTCCATGAACTGCCTCTATGAACTCGGTTTGCTTTTCTTCTTTTAGGAGGCTGATGGCTGTCTGAGGTTGTTCAGAGATGCTGAAAAGAATTAAGTATAATTTCTTCCTCCCTTGACGACCTCTTAATATGAGTAGTTGGTTTTCACAGACAAAATGTAGCAGGAAAATATTCTCAAATAATTTATTCTGACATAATAAAGTGTATGTTATCATCGTTCCTTTCACATTTCATTCTTGAGATGATTACAAGGGTATTTTTATTTTGTGACATCTTTTTGTCTTATAATTTTAGCAAAAATGCTACCTCATATATTACTTCAATTTGGCTACTCTGTATACACGGTGGTTTCTTTCTATGGTTCACAGCCTTGTATTTGATTATAATTTAATAAATGTTGTAATAAATACATAATTAATCAAAATGTAGAACATCTAAAACAGTCTTAAAAAATGTTTCCAGAACCTAATTTAGTCTATACGTCATCTGATTACTGAAAAATATTAATGTTTTCTCAGCAGCAGGAACAATCTATCTCTCATATTTGACTCAACTATACTCACTGAAAAACCTTTTCTGGATGTCTGGATCTTTAAAAATGGGAAGTATCATTCCTAGTAATGACTTTGGTACTTCAATGATGATGCATTTAAAAGTGCAGATGGTATTATCAGGCAGCAAAGAGTTACTGTATATTTACTTTTTATTATTATGAAATAGAATATACCACAAATAGCAATGCTTCCTTAGTGTAAGATGTGTTCTTATGATGTACAGTTGCCAAACAGTTAATAATTATAAATTAACTAATTAAATGGTGAAAATTTGCATCCAATGTGAATATATAATAAATGTAGCATATAAGAATTAAAATATTCACAAAACAACATTTATTTTTTTCCTTTTTTTTTTTTTTTTTTGAGACAGAGTCTCACTCTGTCACTCAGTCTAGAACGCAGTGGTGCGATCTCGTCTCACTGCAACCTCCCCCTCTTGGGCTCAGATGATTCTCCCTTCTCAGCCTCCAGAGTGGCTGGGATTACAGGCATGCGCCACCACGTCCAGCTAATTTTTTTTTTTTTTTTGTATTTTTAGAGACGTATTTTTTTGTATTTTTAGAAACCGTAGAGACGGTTTTCACCATGTTGGCCAGGCTGGTCTTGTACTCCTGACCTCAGGTGATCCTACAGCCTCAGCCTCCCAAAATGCTGGGATTACAGGCATGAGCCATCGCAGCCAACACAAAACAACATTTCTTTAATGTGCTCAGATACAGTATTACTATATTATTCTATATATTTTGCTAGAGATGTTAATGACACAAACTGAGTTCATTGCAATTATGTTTACTTTACAGATGTGAAAAGAGACAAAAATATAATATGACTCATGGTGTTCGGTGGCAAAAATAGGGTAGTTCTCATTATTGTGAACACATTTAATGTCTTATCCAGATTAAATATGCCTCAGCAAAAGTGCTTTGATGAAATGTTTTGTAATGGACATACATTGTAATTACTGATGTGATTTTCCCTCTTATATAGGTATAAATTAGACCACATTAAAAGTAACCAAGAGCATTTCACTATCTATGTAAACTAGAATATCAAATTCCTTCAAATTTCTCTCTTCAAATTATTTATTCGTCCAACAGGGGTATGTCACAAACATAATCCTTTTGTGTCCTTTTACTCCAGCCTCCCTCATTGACTTCTGTCTCAGAAGCCAATTGAGATGGTATTCTGCTACTGCTACCAGTCCTCCATTATAACAAAGGAAAGCTTTGATAAAAGTCCTTCTGTTCCTTGACATGTCATGGTTTTAAGCCATGCCCTATTCTACCTTGAAGTGGAAAGAACTCTCCTGTCTCTACCTGCCCCATACTTTGTTACCTGGGTATCAAAATAGTACAACTGCTTATTTATTTATTTTAGCAGACTCTCTCTTTACATGTTCTCTCCAGACAATGTATCCGAGAGGCTGTGGTGACATGTGAGTTTTAACTACTTGAGACAAATAACACACTGGCTTCCAGGGCTTCAGATGATCTTCCACCTTGTAAAAACTCTCTTTCAGCAGCAAACTTTACATCAGATTCCTCTAGGGTGCCTCTATTTGCTGTATCATTACATAAGTCTAGTATTTCAGAGTCAGACATGAGATACAAGCTCTATCTACAAGGAAACTTCATTGAAAGGAAATCATAAATTACTTTTAAAGTTGTCATGTTTGTATCCTGTTCAAAGGCTAATGAAAAAAATTGACAAAAGAAAAATACTTACACCGTGTTTTTATATCTTGCGATTGGAATGTTCAATATTTTTATGAAATAAGCTTTATAAAAGAGAAGTCAGTGTGTCTCATCTCCATTTCTAGGATCAGCTGACTTAATCTATTCATTACTTAGTGCTTTCAAAAAGAAGATAATTTTGTTTTCCCTGGCAACGGTAAATCTCCTAAAAATAGTTTGAAGTTCAGAATTATTTTTATATCTTTATATACTCTCATTTTGATATAAGTTGATTAATAGCCTAGTTTTTAAAGCACAAAATGATTGTTATTTTGTTCTCATGACACTTTTTTTCTAATAATTCAAGGCATGCTCATGAATTCAATGAAAATGTGAAAAATATTACTTTTTATTCTAAAATTTTTGCATCACTTATCTCTAAACCATGTTTGCATTCTTATCAATCTTTTTAACTAAAGGTGTAAAAGAAATCAATATAGATACATAATGATTAAGAAACCTTTAGAGATTTTGCCATATGAAACACAATATTATTGAATATTATTTCTTTCAATTTCTGTTGCCTTCTGTGTCTTTCTAGGAGGTAATTGTAAATACAAATCCATAGTTAATATATATATTTAGAATATCTATGTCTACATCATCTATCTCTACCTATTATATGTCTGTCTATCTACCAATGTAATTATTATTGAGACCATAAATAGTGGATGTGTGGGATGAGAGGAACCTGAGTACAAATTTCTGAGTAAAACCAGTGTAGAAACAAAAGTGATGAAAAAAAGAAATCCTGTGTGTGATTAAGCTGTAATGGTTAAACAGGTAGGAGAAATTAACAAAGAGGGAGAGACATGTCAAATTGTACATATAATAGAAGTGTGCAACTTCTATTCCCTTTAAACGTTTTTCTCTGTTATGCATTGGCCACAATATACATTTTATTTTGTTTGTTTGAAATCATTACCATGGCTGCCACTCAAAGTGTATCATCTTCCTGCAATTATGTACATATTTGCTTGTTAAATTAAAGAAAAATTCTCAAATAACTGTTGTTTCTCCCTATACTTTGAATGTTAACAATAAAACATCATATTGATATGATCCTTTTTATGAATAATACATTTGACAGGTTTCGCTTGATCAAATTGCATGACACACTGTAAATCAGATAGGACAATTTGCAAATATTTCGCTTGCATTATTTTTCACAACTGCAGGCAAAGACTTATCAGCATGACTTGTCTCATAAAATCACAAGGCTTTCACATATGTTGACATCTAATTTTTTCAGGAATTGTTCTTAGAAAGGGATTTTAGAAATAAGGATACTTTGTATTCCATTTATTAGAAGACTCACTTCTACTGAATCTATTCTTATATTCATTATACTTTTATAGAACAGAGGAAATTTAGTGAACACTAAACATCTGTTTCTTCTATTTCACATTTTCAGGTGTAAAGTTTTGAGATCACTTAGACTGATAAAATATCTAAAATGTCATCTGTTTTGGAGTCTTATATTTTCACTTTTACTCAGGTATGAGATGAAGGCTTTAAAAAAACAGTATTTCTTTTTATATTAAATATAGAAATGAATAATATGTGTGTCCATGATACGTATTTTACCAATCATGATTTGAATATGGAAAACAAAAACAGTACAGATATTTTGTGCAAAGATTATTTCTATTTGCAGGAATTCCAAACCTTTAAACAAGTAGGTTGTCTATCCTTTTCTTTTTCTTACTAATAGTCAATGAGTAAGCAATGTAAGTAATAGCTTTTCATTTTCCTTAAGCCAATCCCAATCTCAAAATCCTCCTATTCTCAAAATAAGTATTTAGTGCCAAAGCAGCAAAGTTATTTCAGATACCTTCCTTTTGAACCCAAGCTAAATTTTCACTTATGGATCTTTTTAGCCTGATAAATACATTTCTTTCTTACTTAGGCCGAATTCTGTAAAACAAACAAACAGAAATATTGGAGTTTTATGAGCACATATGAATTCTTCTAACAGTTTAATTTTCTTTTTTCTCTCTCTAAATCAGTGAAAATTATCATAAACCAAAATGAAGTTGGATGTTTCAGTTACCTACCTCTTTACTTCTTACAGAAACAATCAATGGGTTCATCAACAAGCTGAGTCTCCTGCATCCAGCAATTACAATTACTTAATAGGTGATGAAAGGCAAGGCTAGTCACCAGTAATCTTTAACCTGGCTCCTGAAGGGCACAGTAGTAGGTGCTGTGTCTACACACTCACCTAGCATCAATAGGGCAGAGTAGGGTGGTTAGAAGTTTGCTGCAGCTTCAAAAGGGTCTTTTTGATTAAAAAAAAAAAAAAAAAGAAGAAGAAGACTTTCGGGCCAGGCGCGGTGGCTCACGCCTGTAATCTCAGCACTTTGAGAGGCTGAGGTGGTCAGATCATGAGGTCGGTAGATCGGGACCATCCTGGCTAACACAGTGAAAGCCCCTCTCTACTAAAAATACAAAAAATTAGCCAGGCGTGGTGGCATGTGCCTGTAGTCTCAACTACTCAGGAGGCTGAGGCAGGAGGAACACTTGAACCCAGAAGGCAGAGGTTGCAGTGATCTGAGATCGAGCTGCTGTACTCCAGCCTGGGCGACAGAGTGAGACCCCATCTCAAAAAGAAAAAAAAGAAACAAAAAGGATTTTAAAGAAAATGTCATAAAAATGTTTCAACAAGCAATGACATATTTGTTTGAAAAAATAAAAATCTTAGGAAAATAGAAGTCATAAAAAGAATCAAACGGAAATTATAGAATTGAAAAATAAAATAACACCAACAAAAATGTGCTGAATTTGCTCAAGAGCACAATGCGGATGATAGATAGTATAATCAGTGAGCTACAGATCAATAGAATTTACACAATGTGAAAACCAGAATATAAACTGAAAAAAAAAAAAAGATGTCTCAGGGATCTGTGTAAAAACAGCAAAAGAACTAACACTCATAGCATGGGGGAAGATAACATGAATAGTTGTATATATTCTCCATATCTAAGGAAATGAGAGAGACTGAAAAAAATATTCAAGGAGATAATGGCTAAAACGTCCAAAATTTAGCGACAGATATGAATGATTTCAAAGTTGAGTGAACCTCATACAGAGTAAAATAAGTTCAAACCAAAACATCATAAACTTCTGAAAACGAAATACAGAGAAAAATTTTGAAAGCAGCCAAAAGGTAACAGCATATTACTTATATAAATTTGCAGTAGGTTTCCTATCTAAAACTATTAAGGTCAGAAGGATGTGGTACAACATCAACTACGGAAAGAAAAATACTGTCAACTGTGTTTGATAGCTGCTGAAATGGTCTTCAGGAATGAAAAGGAAACAAAGAAATTACAAGGAAAGATAAGAAAAAAAGTTGTTACTTCTAAAGAATGGCTAAAGAACTTTTTAAACAGAAGAGAAATGAAAGCAGAAGTTTTAGAAATTCAGGAATGAAAGAAGAACACAGAGTTGGGTAAAAACATCTGTAAATATATTTTCTTCTCCTGGGTTTCTTAAATCATATTTACAGGTTGAAGCAAATATTATAACACTACATGATGTGGTTCTCGTGTATAGAGGAAATACTTAAGTCAGTTATATTTTAAAAGTCAGAAGGGTAAAGCAATTTAATGGAAGTAAGGTTTCTATACTGTACTCGAAGTAAAATGCCAATGCAAGTACATTGTGACATAAAATATATGTTGTGTATATATAACGTAATATTGTTATGTTACATAATACTAAATATATAAAATAATACATAATATGTACATTATATACATTCACATATGTATATAATCTCTGTATTTTTCACAACTACATATAAAGCTAATCTTACATCAAAATAAAAATTTCAATAACTGACATAAAAAGTAGAGGCAGACAAATCCACAATTATAGTAGGAATACACACACCTATCCAATTGCTAGTAAGACAAGCAGAAAGACAAACCACCAAGGATAAAGAAGATCCAGACAACACTAATAAGTTTACCCAGCATCTGTATAGAGAACACAGCAATCAATAATAACAGAACTCACATTCTTTTAAAGAACACTTGGTTTGATTTTCCAAAGTTGATAACGTACTGAGCCATAAAAACACCTAAATAAATTTTAAAAGATTGGACTCATTTGTCTTGTTCCCTGTAACCACAATGGAATCAAATAGAAATCAATAACAGAAAGGTAACTAGGAAGGCCATAATCTTCTTAAAGTTAAACCATATATTTAAAAATAATCCATGGTGGAAATTTGAGCCATTTCAAACAAATTATCTATCCCAAAAGATTTCTCACTTGAGTATCAACATTTCCTATTATACATACATAATATCAACAATAGATAACTGATATAAGAACATACTAACTATATGTAATTCTATGTTAACAGGCTTTTTGTCTTTATGCATTTTTAAGTTATTATTTCATTGCTTTTTTGGATGTTTTTTGCTAATTTCTATTGGTTACTCTTCCCTTAATTTCCTTACGTGTAATGGTACGTTTTTTTCTGGCCAATTTTAAATTGTTTTATTCAAGGATTTTTATAATAATTTTATTTTAATGCATCTTGGTATTTCTTTGTTTATTTTGCTTATTGTTCATTGAGCTTAGTTTATGAGTTAATTTTCTTCATTGAGTCTGGAAGTTTTAAAAAATCATTTATTCAAATATTTCTTCTGCCCCCGCCCCCTTAAAGAACTCCAATTACAGAGATATTGAACTACTAGCTATTCTCCCACAAGTGACTGAGTCTCCCTTTAGTTTCCTTTTTTTCTGCCTTTCCCCCCTTGATATTTCAATTTCAAAGGCTTCAAATGCCCTCTTTTTCATTGAAACATTTTCTTCTATATTATACAGTTTGATATTAAGCCTGTTGAGGAATTTTTTTTCATTTCAGGTATTACTGTTTGAGATCTGGAAATGTTATGTTTTGAATTACAATATCTTCTATTTCTATAATCACTCTATTCATGCTTTTCTTTAAATTCTTTTTTTTTTTCTTTTTTAGAAATGGGGTCTCACTTTGTTGCCCAGCATGTAGTGAAAGAGTGCGTTTATAGTTTGCTGCATGCAGCCTCTAACTCAAGTGATCCTCCCACATCTGGGACTGCAGGCACTTGTCACCAGGCTCACTATGTTTCCAGGGCTGGTCTTGAAACCCTGGCCTCAGTGGATCCTCCCACCTTGGCCTTTCAAACCGCTGTGATTACAGGAATGAATCATCACACCTGGCTCCTTTAAATTCTTGAATATCTTTTAAATATATATTTTAAAGTCCTTGACTGACAATACTACCATCTTAATTTTTGGTTCTGTTTCTACTGATTGGTTTTTCTCATAGTTGTGTGTTACACTTCTTGCTATTTTGAATATCTATTAATGTCATTATTGTACACTGGATATTTTGAACGGGTACGTTTTCTTTTAAAAAGTATTTTCAGATAGTTAACTTACTTTTGCATAAACTTGACTCATCCAGACCTTCTTTTCTAAACTTTTTAGAGTACAGAAAGGATAGTTATTACTCTAACGCAACTCTAGCTATACTCAGGTTTTCAACAATATCTCTTTTCTGTGGCTAATTGAGACTCCAGCATCTCCCAGGATTTCACAAACTCTTGTTCTCCAGCTTATTGCTCCATGATAGTTGTTCTTGGATCGCCACTGTGGAATCTCATTCTCAATATGTACAAGGTAATATTTAGCAATAATCCAAAAGATACTCAAACACATTTTTTCTTCTTCTTTATTTAAGTAGGTCTCTCCTTTCTGCCTTTCTGGTACTCTTACTTGAAAACACCAACTGTTTCTCCCCTTGTCCACCACTTCCACTATACATCAAAAGAAAAGACAAAAGAAAAGAAAAGAAAAAAAAAACTTTATTATCTCCCCCTGGCTTTTATGGTCTAGAAAATGCTGTCGGGAGCAAACATGGACTGCCATAGTGGTTGCCTCTCTTTTAAACAATCTCTCAAGACTAATATTCCATTTGCCTGTTTCCAATTTCTAAACATCTTTTTTTCCCAATATATTTTGTCCAGTTTTCTTTATCATGGTCAGAAAATGCTAATTGCAACTGATCTTATTTTGACAGATAATACTGTATATATGTCTAAGTAAATTAATTAAATATCTGAGTTTATTTTACATTTTAACATCATAAGATAATCACTAAACTTTACTACTGAATACTTATATACAAATGAAATGCCTTTTTCTTTTTAGAATAAACTTTAACTCGTACTTGTCAGTATTCTAAATAAAAAATAACTCTAGAGTATTATCAAAATATAACAACAAAAAGGTAAAACTAAAATTGTAAATACTAAGTCTTCACATGCAGTCCTGTCTTAACTAAGAAGTGCCACCTAATACAATCTCTTACCTTAATGGACAGTGATCTCTTCTGACAGAGCTGTCTAAATTTCTCATTCTGTAAATTATAGGTGTATTCAAATTATATTATGAGCATATATGGCTTTTAAATTACCATGATTTCATAAGCTTATCAATAGTATAGCAAAATCAAAATTTTACAACAACTTTAATATTGCTATTAACTTTCCGGTAGCAATTCACTTACAATAAATAGTATCCTACTTTTTTGTGTTCAAGATACTATCTACGAAAAGGTCTTAGAACTGTTTCCAAGTTACCCCATTTAATATACTAAAAATCTTTTTATAACAATTATTGTATTTAAGATACATATATTTCCCAAGTTATTAAATGAAATGCAATGTTTCAATAGAATGTTTTACACTGAAGAATATTGAATAACATATTTAAATTGAATATTATTTTCCTCATATGAGTACAAAAAAGAGACAAACAAAATGATGTAATAAAGCTACATCTCTTGAACATTCTGGTTATTTACATATTTTAAAATTCTGTTTTATTAAAAGCCAAATAGAGGCATGAAAAAATAATGCTATTCAGCAAAAGAAAGATGTTAATGTAAAAAAAAATGGATTTCGTATTTGTTGGTTGCCTTTATAGTCAGTGGCTCTCCAACAATGAAAGAAATGTTGAATTATGTACTGGCAGCACAGGGCAATAACACTATATAGCAAAATATTAATTAGCCATGATTAAATTAATAGGCAGTTCACCTATTTGCCCATTACTTGAGCATGAGATAAAGAATAGCTGAAAGTTATATTTTTTAAAAGTCAGTTGTATAGTCTTTTTGGTCATCATAACTAGCATTTGTATCATAAATTGCTATTATTGATGTGTTTTCACATATGTTATCCAATTGAGACTCCTCTAAACTTTGTGAAGGATATTAATATTAAAATGTACACTTTAACACTGAAGTAAATGGTAGTCAGAGTAGTAAAATGACTTACTCAAGGAGATACATAGAAGTTGCATCAGTAAGAAATTAACCTTTCTTTCAATTCTGTTTTCCAGTAAAGTAACCACTATCCATACATGTTTATTTAAACTTATAAAAATTACACAAAATGAAAAGTTCTGCTCTTCAGTCTCATTAGCCATACTGAAAGTGCTCAATGTGTATGTAGGTAGTACAATCAGAAAGTGAAGTAGAAGCAAGTAAGACCATGTTAAGGCCTCTGTGAAACCTCAGTGGTGATGTTTCTGCTGCATTTTGGAGGGTAAATGTGTGTAGGCCAGAGATTAAAAGGTAAGGGAACAATGATATGTTTCAAAAAGAAGGAACAGTGTATGCCAAGGCATGGAGGTATGGAAAAGCATGTAGTAGTCGAGAACCTGCAATATATTTAATATGAAAAGTGTATGCCGATAAGGTTGTATATGTAGCAGGACTTTAATAGGATGTAGTTGGAGTGATCAACAGAAGCCAAATCATAAATTACTTTCCATCACAGACTAAATTTTGTTTTCCTGAAGGACAATTTTGAATGATACAAGTATGGGGGTCAAAAGATATAATGTATGTTTACCTTAGAACTATTACTTTAGCAAAAGTGAAAATAGTGCATTGTTGGCAGGCAACATTGGAGAAGATGACCAAATCAGTAGACTGCTGATTTAATCAAGACAAACTGTTCTTCAACAAAAGGAGAAGCTGTGAAAAGGATTGAAAGCAGTTTCCAAAACTATGCATAAATGAATGAATCAATTGGTTAGCACAACAAAATGCATCTCCATAATTTTTTATCACTAAAATTTATAGGCTGTGTGTTTTAACAAGGTCTCAAACTACAATGCAATATACATTACATTGTATGTATACTGCAAAATATGTAATCTATGGGATTTACAAAAGTTCAAGGTGTTTCTGTCATATGTCATTTTAACCTTTCTATTTTCCAAAGCCAATGATTGATTACAATGGAAAAGCAATGACAAGTATCAAATAAACTTTGGCATAAAGTTATTACATGACATTAGTACAAATTATAAATATGATAAAAAGAAAGACACTTATGGGACTAAATATCCCACTCAAGAGGCCAAATTTCTGGAAGGTCCAAACTGAAGATACACAATCAATTTAACCAAACATACTTTAGCATTGAATCCCCAAGAATTAAAACACAAACTTTCCAAATTTAGGACTGAATTTGAAATGATGACATTAATCATTTTACAAATATTTATAAGAATTTCTTGTGTAAACACCTTACCCAGAAACTGGAAGTAAGGATTGCAGATGTAATTTTAAAACAGATTCTCTGTTTTAGAATATCAAAATAGAAAATTCATAATCAGTGTTACCAAATGGACTTCAGAATTCAAATTTTTATTTGGCTGGTTGCATTATTCATATATTCATTCCACTAATGTTTATGTAGCCCCTACTTATGAATACTATGCAAGCAAGAGCTAGTAATAAGAATAAAGGTATATTTTCTTCTTTTCTTGAGTTTACAGATTGAAATGTGATTTCTGTACTATCCAGCTGGCTGGCAAGGAGACCTCTGAGGATAACTTTATATTATGCTAGGAGATACATCTTACAATTTCTCATAATATTGAAATGCTTTACATATATGGAAACTGAAGGAAAAAAGGGAGGAAATTACTTTCAATGTCATGATTTTTGAGCAGCAAAGCCTATATTCATATCCAGGAGTAATTTTAATATTTCTCCTATACCATGTATTTTAACTATACTAATTTCCTTTTCGTTATAGTCAGATATACTTTTTTTCCAAGTCATTGACTAACCTTCAACAACTGTAGGTGAAGAAGAAATGTAAAATTGATATAAAGAAATGCAGAACAAAAACATTATTACACAAGGGCTCTGATAAGGGTTTGGTAATCTTATCTCTGAAGGTTTGCTAGCAATACTCACTTCGTTTTTAACAAAAATAAACACATTTTCTGATAAAAAAAAAAAAAAAAAGAAAGCTGACATCTGATTAGCCAGATGGCCCCGTGTGGTAGCACTTTCACATCCAGGACATATCTGTCAGTCCCCTCAAAGTTTACTTATGTAAATAGAGAAAATATGAGTTATTAATTTACTGAGTGTGACATAACATTTTACCAAATTCTCACAAGTTTATTTTCTTAAAATTGAGGATGAAAATGCAAGCTACCTTTTCATATGAATCCTTTAAAATGACAAGTACCTGATTAGAATTAAAGGGAAATAAAATGATCTGTGATTCTAATTTACAAGGCAACATCTCCTGAGCAGAAACAGTTGGTATAAAGGAATCTCCTGAGTAGCACAAAGCACCAACAGGCTAAAATTACTTTCTAGTACGTCACCTTCAAGCTGGTGCCCAGTTTCTGCCTTTTTACCTTATGTTTGCTTCTCATTCCCATATTGTGCCTGTTGCCTTCCATTACATCAGGAGTAAAAACTTGTTTTCACTCTTCCGCATTCTCTCCAAAATAATTCCTTAGAGATCAAATTTCACTGAAGGGTTTATTTTCCCTTTTATTCTTAACAATTAAAAATTATATGCTAAGCAGCCTAGATGTTAATGACTGATAATAGTTTCTCCACGACGAACATACTCTCTAAATTTCTAAGTGTCAAAATCTTGGCAGATATCAAGGTGTATCTTAAATGCCACTTCCTTTATCAATCACTCTTGATTTTTCCCTGTCACCATCGACAACTCTGTTTCCCTCACTAAAATGTCAGTTAGTATATATTCCTGTGCCCCAATGAAAATTTATCAATAACTAATCCATACGACTTTTGATATTCTCAAAATGTATTTTACATTTGTATGTACCAATTTCAAACACTTCAGGACAACACATTTGCACTAGTACCCTCAAGAAGTGTTGAGCTGATCAGGGACTTAAACCTACTGTTTAATTATCTTCTATTAATATAATGTTTAAACTTATAAATACCCCAGAGTATGAACTACAGATATTTTCAAAAAATCAGAACTCATTAAAAGACTGTTTCTTATCCAATTCTTCCTTAAAAATCATAAAGGTATGAATGCACTTAAATAATAAACTTACAGATCATTTTGGAAATTATATTTAGATTGACGATGAATAAAAATAATAGTTCCTGCATTGTTCTACCCTAAAATATGACCACATAAGTCATTAAATACACATCAACACAAATAGAACTTTCAACATGTTCTAAAGTCCTATCAATTATTTACTATATTTTTCATAATTTATTATTTTGGTTGAGCTTAAATATGTTAATCATCTTAGGAGTTTCATCTCAGGAGGTTCACAGTATTTGAATCCAAATTTTCAATGTAATTCTATGATTATCTACGCATTTCCACTGCATAAATTATCTAAGCATTTCCACTGCATAAAAATGGCATGGGGAAAAATAAAGTCTTCTAAATGCCCTCACATTTTCTCCATTTTTAGGAGTATGTACAGGTTTGAAAAAAGTTATCTATTCTGTTTCTGCCTATCCTCTATGGTTGATGTATAATAGTGTTGCAAAATTTGTATCAACAAAACACTCTTAAAATTTGTCCATTTATAAAATTCCAATTTGTGTATATCTTAACATTTTGAATCTAGAAGTATATTCTACTAATAAATGCCAGTGAAAATTAAATTCTAACTTGGAATCCACTTACAACCAAAACATCCAGATACAATGAGAGGGAAAAAGTCAGATTAAATCTCATCTAGAAGCTGCCAGCTATAAAAGTGTTTCCAAATAGGCTATTAAAGAAAGTGGTGGAGTCTCCAAGATGTCATGATTTCATGACTCCCAGGGAACATGATGGTGGCTGACCATGTTTTAGTTCAGCATTGGGAGCACTGAAAAATTAGCAGACAATCGGGCAAAGGGAAAATGCTGTGCAAGGTATTCATTTCTAAAAATGAATATTACTGGATTTTTACATGACTCCAGATAATCAGAAAATCTGGGCTTGAGATGATGAATTTCATGGCCACCTAGTAACAACCATTTGAAATCTTAGTCAAACAAATCCTCAGGGAATTTGAGTTGTGTTCCCTAGTTACAAAGAACATTATGCCAGTGAGCATTAAGTCCATATATACAACATGAAGATTGCATGGTGGAGAGGCTCAGAGGACAAGTAGGAATATGAAGAATCTTTTAATGTATAATTTTCATATAAAAACAAATGTGAATTCATTATGTAGAGGAAAGCAAAATTAACATGACTCTTTCTCATGTGAAAATCTGATTTGGAAGAAGATTCAAGGTATAGAGAAATGGAAATCAAACTTCAGATTCTACTCTTAGCCTTCTGCGACAAAATATATTCCTTTGCCTCTGCACATATTTTACCACAAATATCTGTAAGTCACTACTATAAAGTGTTCTAATATCAAGAGATCATGAATTTTCCCCAAAATTACTGAGGTTGAATATATGAGGTTCATTTCAATAACCGTGAAGAGTTCTTGGAATTTTAACTAACGTGTAAGCTAACAATTTAGCCTGTTGCAGGTTCATATATGTTGGCAGAAGATTCAAGACTCCTGGGACAGTCATAGAACTTTATTGCTCAGGACACAGCAGACAGCATGATCTTGAAGTTCATGCCAGCTTTGCTTGTCCCGTGAGTCCCACAGGGTGATGGAGAATGGACCAGGAGGATGCTGTCTTTGCTGCCTCATGACCTTTTCTGGACCACAAGCAAACATAGCTGAACTTTGTCCCAAAGAGAAACATCATTTTTATTACACTTAGGAGTAAATAAACCTGCCTTAATTCTGGAATAAAGCAAAATCTCCATCTCCTTTTCAATGATGTTTGTGTGCTATGAAAAAATCATTGAAAAGACAGTACAGAACAAAAGCCATGAGTGCCTCTGCTTATAACACACATGTAAAGGCGAGAGGCCCATTCTACTTTTCTCCACTGTCTTGATTTCTGGTGAATTGTCCCATGAGAATGTTGTTCTGCCAACCGTTCTGATTAATAAAAACGACAGACAGTCGGGAAAAAATAATCTCAGTTGTTTCATACAGCATTTAATTCAGACTATCAGCAGAATTCCAAATTTAAAATAAGGCTAATCTGTCATATTAACCTTGAAACTTCCCCCTAAGTTTCCAGATTCAACCAGGTGAAAAAAAAATCACAAACTACCTTGGCCCTCAAGAATGAATTATAGTGAAATTCTAGCACCCAAAACAATCTTGGCCACTGAGTTGAGCCTGACCTGAATGTCTTCCATGGCAGATGTGATATTTCTATAAACACTTAAAGATCTCTTACGACACCACATAATGTATGAGCTGTTATATTTTTGAAATAGGAGTGCATTAATGCCTGGTTTTCATATAAAGAAGTGCAAATTTGAGGACATACATGGTGACCCTAGAAAGAAATGTATTGGCTATACTTTATTGCCACCCTCTCCGAAAATGGGGGACATTTGCTGGTAAGCAGAAGTTGACAGTGCCTCCAATGTGGCCTCCTGGTCAGCTAATAGGTTTTAGGGATCCTAGTTCAGTTAAAATAATTGAGTGTAGTTGTTGTTAGAGAAATGTCCAAAGTCAGGCAGTCAAATCTCACCTACTTGTTTACACCAGCAGTCATGGGACATTCAACTTCCCTAGAGAAAGAGAGAGTAATGTCTCAGGAGCATGATAGAGAAGATATCTGAAGAAGTTGAATGGTGTCTTTTGTGAGAGGTGCTGAAGCTGGGGTCATACCTTACTGTTTCTAATAGAATTCTGAGTAATGTTGAGGGAAATGGCAGTAATATCATGATCAGAACTATGTTGCTGGAGTAGCAGACCCAAGAGTTATACTTAAGATACTTGCTAAAGTTTTCAAAAGGCTATAGCCTATCTTTAAATAGAAAATCTACATATATTCAACTACATATGTATATATGTTCAATTATAGTAGACACTGTTTATAATCCATCTAAAACTATGTGTTGTCACACTTGGAAGGTCCTATATATATAGGACACACACACACACACATATATAGGACATATATATATAGGACTATATACATATAGGACATATATATAGGACATATATATATACACACACACACATACATACACACATATATACACACACATACATACATATATATATACACACATATATATATGTGTGTGTGTGCTTATGTGTAGGCGTATAGAGATTGCTAGATTTTGTCATACTGACTGATTTTCTTTTTTTTTTTTTTTTTTAGACAGAGTCTCGCTGTGTCACCCAGGCTGGAGTGCAATAGCATGGTCTCGGCTCACTGCAACATCCGCCTCCCGGGTTCAAGCGATTCTCCTGCTTCAGCCTCTGGAGTAGCTGGGATTACAGGTGCCCGCCACCATGCCTGGCTAGTTTATGTATTTTTAGTAGAGACGGGATTTCACTATGTTGGCCAGGCTGGTCTCGAACTGCTGACCTCGTGATCTGCCTGCCTCGGCCTCCTAAAGTTCTGGGATTACAGGTGTGAGCCACCGTACCTGGCCATACTGATTCATTTTTTAAATAGTGTACAAAATCATTATTAAATTTAGGTCATGAAATTAAACTTTGACATTTATAAATATGTTTTATAGTACAGTATATGACTAATTTGGTACATATTGTTAAGTATTTTATGCTTGGTAAAGAAAAACGAGAGTTTCTATTCCAGTCAGATCAATTAATTACAAGCACAGTTTTGAATACTGAAACTAATCTATGTCATATTTTCATATTTATAATCAATTTTCAGTATGACAATATGTATTTTATGAGAAAAGCCACTAAAAAGTACTCTATTAGACACAGTATTTAATGGAAATCCCACAACCCCTGCCATTCACAGCACCTTCTTGTTTTGTCTTGGAATGGCTTCCTCAAAAATGAATTCAAAATGATTTCTGATCCAACCTTCCTCACTTTCTCTGTTCCACATATAGGTAAGAAACTCTTTTATTTGGGGGTATAAATTTTACATGAAAATGTTAAGTCAATTATCAAATTAATTGAAATTTTATATAATCTAATACTTATTATTTAATCTTTGCTTTACTCACCAATTATTCATAAAGATGTGTTCAAAACCACTTGTTTATCAATATTTAAAAAATAAAGATTATGAGGTGAATCTGAATAATCATTTTATTTTTCTACCATATTTATATAGACACAAACATGTATTATACTATTTTCCTTAAACTGTGCTTTTACTACAAAGTCGTCCATTTTATTTTTGTCTCTTAATTATGCTTTGTTTTCACAGCAACATCTAATTAAATTAAGACCTTGAAAACAAGTAAATTAATGAATTCCGTTTTAACAGCCTCGGCTTAATTGGAATTGGTTCTCATAATATTCAAATTTAATACATATATACACACATATGTACATATACATATATAATACATATACACTTATATAATGTATGTATACATCTTATACACATATATACATAAATACATAGATCATATATTTATATATTT
This sequence comes from Homo sapiens, assembly GCF_000001405.40. NCBI lineage: Eukaryota > Metazoa > Chordata > Mammalia > Primates > Hominidae > Homo > Homo sapiens. The sequence goes on from NC_000007.14 coordinate 119,691,224, forward strand.
CAATAAATATTAAATATATTTATATAAATAGTGTTTATGCACATTACATAAATATCTGTATAAATAGATATAGTGGGAGAAAGAGCACACACACACACAAATTATTACTAGTTTCAAAATCCACCTTATTATCTACTAGATATGTATGTTTAGAAAATTTGCCACATTAAGTGGTTATGAGAACTAAATATTTATAAAGTTTTGTTAGTAATGTTGTTTAAGTAGTGTCTGGTACATCATAAACATTATATAACTATATGTGATGAAAAAGATAAATAGACAAAGTTCTTTAATTCAATCTGTCAGTATAGTTCTAGGCTATATGCCAGATAAAAATATATTTTGCTTATACATTTTAAAAAATTTTTAAATACTCAGGGATATTTATAAATAAATATCTGCATATTTCATTTGTATGTTTACAAGCCTTCAAATAATATGCAGGATGATGCTTTACTTAATTCAGCTATTATTTTAATTGCTATTTTCCTTCCTAAATGTTGCATTAATCCTTTTTACTTTTATTTGAACATAATTGTATTTGTATCCCATCTGCCTTTTATTACCACTAGGAAACTGTTGGTAAACATCAATTTTATAGGTGGCTTCAGATTATTTTATGTTTTTAAATATTAGAAATACTCTGTTTATATAGTAAGCATGTTCTAGAAAATTATTGAAGAATCCAGTAACAGTATTGAATACCAATAGCCGATGAGTTACCATTAATGTTATTTCAGAGGTAGATATATCCCTTGACTACTATGATTTTATCTGTTTATTTCTCAATTTCCTATGAGCTATCTTATGATGAAAATCATGAAAAATTAACATATCAACATACCCAATGCCTATATATTTGATTAATAGAGTTTAATATCACAGATCTAAAGTCAAGACAGGGCAAGTAAATTGCAACAATACTGGTATTTAAAATTCATTAGTCTTGGCGCGCTACTGTAGTAACAATACTGGTATTTACTGTAGTGACAATACTGGTATTTACTGTAGTGACAATACTGGTATTTAAAATTCGTTGGTCTTGGCGAGCTACTGTAGTAATTGTCTTAAAATAACTACTTTCATCTAAGAAAATAAATGAATTAATACAGGAACAAATGTTAGAATAGATGCATGTAAAATTTGATTACAAATTTGGTGGCTGATAATAATAATTAATGATTTGTTCTTTCGTTAGAGTTAGAAACTCCATATGCAAGTGCTTTATTTTATCCCAATCCCTGTAATAGTCACTTACTTTAAAAAGAAAAAAGAATATGGCAGTTTATGTTTTATGTTGTCCTCAGAGAAAAGCCATGATCTAAATTATTAATTTATTTATTCTGCTATCAAGGAACAATTATTTTTTAGTTTCCCTCATTGCTTCAAACTTTAATGTATCTGTTCAGCTAAATAAATTACATATTAAACATTAAAAAAAAGCAACTCCAGACACTTGAAAGAGAAAAACTGTGATTTAAGCGTGTGTCTGGCACCTTCACATTTCTATAATATGATTCCTAAGACTGCTGTAATAAAATACCACAAACAGATTTGCCTAAAACAACAGAAACTTATTCTCTCACAGTTCTGAAGGCAGAGCGGTCCAAACTCAAGTATCAGTAAAGTCATTTTCCTTCTGAAGGCTCTAGTAAATAATCCTTCCTAGCTTTTAATCGTTGCTGGCAGTCATTTTCATTACTTGGTGTGCAGCAGAAGATTCTGCTTTTATTGTCACATGGCCTTCTCTCTATGTCTGCCTCTTAGCAAGCATCTAGATTGCTCCTCTTATAAGAAAATCATTCATTGGCTTAGGACCCACCCTAATCCAGTATGACCTCATTTTACATTGATTACACGTGCAAAAAACCTATTACCAGATAAAATTACATACACATCTTGGGAGTTGGGACTTCAACATATCTTTTGGGAGAAGTAACCTATAGCATTACTTCTTTTTTTTTTCCTTCTGTGGCATTTTCTGCACTTCTTTACTGCTAATTTTTTTCTTTCTCTGTCTTCTGTCTTTCCTATCAGATGTGTATTTTTCTCTTCAACTCTAAAAAATTATTTGAGCATTTGCTTTACAAATAGTGAGGTAAGCTGCATCATTCTCGTTTTTAAATATATGAAGCTATGTTGTAAAATCATGTTTTGTTTTAAACAAACAATTATTAAAATAATAACTTTTGTTTAAGATCATGCACATCAAGACTGTAACTCTGGCACCCAAAATATACAATGTAGCCCTCCACCATGGATGTGTCTTCCATGGTTTTGTAAATTCAGTTATAAATAACACATCACGTGTTACCTTTTTATATAACAATCAAAATGACCACAAGTTCTATTTAAGAATTATATTAGGCAAGGTTTTCCAGAGTACCAGTAGGAGATATAGAGATAGATACATTTATGTAGACATACAGGTATAGATATATACATCTATGTACCTCCCTATCCATAAAGAGAGAGATTATGAGAAATTGGCTCACATGACTTTGGAGGATGAGAAGTCCCACTATCTGATGTCTACAAACTGGAGAACCAAAAATTGAGTGGTGTAATTCAGTCATAGTCCAAAAGCCCAAGACCAGCGGGGCTGATGGTGTAAATTCCCATACAAAGGCAGAAGAAGCTTAAGAAGCAATGCTAAATGGAGTGAAAGATTTATTTCATCTCCTTCTGTTCTATTCAGGCCTTCAATAGATAGGATGATACTTACACACTCTGGAAGGACAATCTACTTTACTGCGTCCAGTGATTCAAATCTAATCTCATCCAGAAACGTTGTCACAGATTCATCCAGAAATAATGTTTAATCTGCTATCTGGGTGCAATGGTTTGAATGTGTCGCCTCCAAAATTCGTATTAAAAAGTAATCTCCATTGTAGTGGTATTAAGAGATGGAATTTTGGGGGAAGTAATTAAGTCATGAGCACTCTGCCCTCATGAATGAATTAGTGCCTTGTCAAAAAGGGCTAGAGGAAACTAGTTCAGGCCATTTTGCTTTTCTAAATCCACCATGTGAGGACACAGTGTTTGTTTCTTCCAGGCAATGTAGCAACAAGGTGCTACATTGAAATTACAGAACCCTCTACACTGAAAGTAGAGAACCCTCGCTGGACAATGAACTGGCTTGTACATTGATTTTGGATTTCTGAGCCTCCAAAAGGGTGAGAATTAAATACCTTTTTTTTTTTTTTTTTTTACAAATTACCCAGTCTCAGGTATTTTGTTACAGTGGCAGAAATTTTTTTTAAATTTTTTAATTTTAAAAATAAAAAATAGAGTAACATATTAATGTCATTATTAAAGTATATTTTTCAGAAAGTTAAAATAATTTACAGGTAAATATAAAATGAACATGTGTCAAAAATTGTATTTAAATCATTAGTTAATACAAGAATCCAGTGATTTTTTTTTTTAGCACTTTCATCCCACTGCTTTCAGGCCTTCATGGTTTCTGATGAGAAATTGGCTGTTAATCTTATTGAGAATCCTTTACACGAGATGAATTATTTATCTCTTGAAGCTGTTAAGAGTCTCTCTTTGTTTCTTTGTCTTTTTAAGTTTGACTATATGTCTAGATGTAGATCTGAGTAAGTTTTCCCTACATGGAACTTCTTAGATGATTTAGGTTTTTCATCAAATTTGTCAAGTTTTCTGCCATTAGTTATGCAAATATTTTCTACTCTTTTTTGTTTTAATCTCTGCTCTTTTGATATCCCATTGTATATTGTTAGTGTGCTTGCTGCTGTCCCAGAAGAGTCTGAAATTGTTTATTTTTCTTCATGCATTCCTTTTTTCTGTTACTCGGATGGAATGATCTCAGTTGATCTATCTTCAAGTTGATTAATTCTTTTTGCACCGGTTCAAATCTGCTGTGATTTTTAATTGAAATTATTTTGGTAATAATTTTATTTATTATATGTTTTAGCTACAAGAATATTATTCAATTCTTTTTAATAATTATTGTATTTTTATTTACATCCTCTGGTGAGAAATTGTTCTCATACATTTCTTTATTTCTTTAGATGTGGTTTGTTTCAGCTCCTTGTACATATTTAAATTGGTTGATTTAAGGCTTTTGTCTAGGAAGTCCAATATCTGGGCTTCTTCAAGTATAGTTTACATTGATTGTTTTTTGTTTCCTATGTGTTGACCTTTTTTTTCTGGGTCTTTGCATGCCTCATAATTATTTTGGTTATGAACTAGACATATTGCATATTATAATGTGATAAATTTGAAAATTATATCTCTCCTATCCCCATGATTTGTTGCTGTTACTAATTATTGTAGTTTATATTGTCTATTAATTTTTCCAAATAAATTCTAATCATTAGATGATTATTTCATTAAGTGCCTGAGACCAAAAAAAAAAAAAAATTCCAAACTTTACTAAGGGACTCTGTGAATGTGCTGGCTTTAACTTTCAACACCCAGGAGTTTAAAACGTTGTCTTAGTCTTCATTTACTAAGCCTCAAGGTCAACTACAGGTGAGAACTTACAAACTTCTCAGTTATTTATTGAGCATGTGCACAGCCATTGCTAGGTGTGTGGCCTTCTACAATCCCAGTAATACATCAGAACTTCTCAAAGACTTTTAGGATATCTTACTCCAGAACATTTGTTATGAGCTCAATGTTTGTGTCCCCTCAAAATTCATATGTTGAAGCCAGATCCCCAGTGTGGCAGCATTTGAGGATGGGCCCTCTAAGGAAGAGTAATTAAGGTTGAATGAGATATAAAATTGGGGCCTTGATTTGATAGGATGTGTGTTCTTAAAAGGAAAGACATTAGGGGCTTTTCTTCTCCATGCCCCCTGTACATGCACAGAGCAAAGACCAGGTGAAGACCCGGTGAGAAAACCGCTGTCTGCAAGGAAGGTGCAGAGCCCGCAGCAGAATCTGAACCTGATGGACCTTGATCTGATATTTTTTGCCTCTAGAACTCTGAGAAAACAAGTTTCTGTCACTTAAGGCACCCAGTTTTTGGTATTTTGTTATAGCATCTCAAGTAGACTACTATAGCACTTTTTCCCCCGAATTTTGATTAATGTTTTGTTTGCCCTCACTACTACCTGTCACCTCAGGCAGCTGTGACTAAAACATTTCCCTGTAAATGTTTTGGAAAAGGTCTCACGCACCCCATATACACACATAACAGCTTTCGGACAGGGCTAGTTCCAACAGTCCAGTAAAATAAACACTAGCCTTTTCAACAAGTGTCCCACAGAGTCATGAGATAGGAGAAAGCACATCATTAAAATTATTTTTTAATTACTTCCATTCTTCTCCCTCTGGTACTCCATATGCAGGCTGTTATTCACAACTACCACTGAACTGGGGATTAGGGGACAGAGCTATGTTAGTCAACATACTACAAACTTGCTTTTTTTTTTTAAGATTACCCGTTTTTCTTAAATAAGAGGTTCCTGTGTTGCTGCAATACTTTGCTTAATTTCAGAGTTTTGAAAAATTGACTTTGCTATTTTTGCCAATTTTTTCATTGCTTTTAAGGAGACTAGAATTTTGGAGTTTCTTTCTCTGCGTTTTTGCTGATGTCTTCCTTCAGGTGGTATATTTTAAAATGTTGTTAGAATACAACTTTTTATTCCCTTTAGGATGGTATTTACCTGCCTGTGTTGTGGTTTCTCTGCTATGGATTTTCCAGCAATCTAACCCCATTTACAGTATATAATTCAGAGATCACTTTAAAGATCTATCTGAAGTTGATAAAAGTATATTTTAGGATGGATTTATAGTATCATTTTCTTTTAAAAAATATATATAAATGTGTGTGTTTGAGAAAGAAGAAAGTGATATACATGCTTCATCTACCATCTTTATCTGATTTTTAATTTTTTTAGATTATGTTCATGTTATGGTTTAAATTTTTCATACCAGAATTTCTCATTTTATAGTCAAGCAATTAAAAGATTAGGAAGGTAAGAAATAATTACAGAAACTTGATGTCTCAGTATTTAGTAAAAGATGGGCACAGTGGCTCATGACTGTAATCCCAAAATTTTGGGAGGCTGAGGGGGGCAGATCACTTGAGCCCAGGAGTTTGTGACCAGGCTGAGAAAAAAAGTGAGACCACAGTTTTACCAAAAAATAAAATAAAATTAGATGGGTGTGGTGGCATAGGTCTGTGGACCCATCTCCATGTGAGGCTGAGACTTAGGATCCCATGACCCTAGAAAGTGGAGACTGTAGGGAGCCAACATCCCGCCACTGCACTCCAGCCTAGGTGATAGACCAAGACCTTGTCTCAAAAAAAAATAAAATAAAATAAAAAAAGAGAGAGAGAGAGACATGAAAAGAATTCAATAAGGGTTTATTGCCTTATTGGAGTGAATTTCAGGATGGAATGAAAGGAGCTAAAGGGAAGGGAAATTTGGAAAATAGAGACTAATGAAATAATGAAGTCCCAATAACAAAGGGCAAAGTAATATAGTTATATAGATCACGTAAGACAAGGTAGTCTCAAACACAGGAAGTGGTCACACTTCTCCTGTAATAGAATGGAAGGATAAACAATGGATCAAAAGTCATCTATACTTGTAGTTTTCATAAAAATAACTTTTGAGAGTTTCACCCTACTGTTTTCTCTGTGATGTAGGAAGTGTCATCTGCTAAGAACAAACAAGTGAAAAAAATGAAACAATTCTATCTAATGAACTGGAGCATTGGTAAATCAAGGACACTGATGATGTTGGAGTTGGAAATTTAAGTGATACGGGTGTTGAATTTTTCATTTAGCACTTCAGGCTCTAGGTGTAAGTGAAGAGAAGGGTGAGTTCTGGATTAACTCAAGCTTGGTCCTGTACCAAGAATACGTGATGACAAAATAAGGTAAAAAGTTGAATAAACTGGCAGGAGTTTCTTGGGCTCAGGGTAGGGGAGACTCTACTTTAGATAAGTGGAAGTAAATGTAGTGACATAAAGGGAGAAAATAGCAGTGGTCTGAAGACTAGAGTTCCAAGATATTGATGAATGTTGAAGAATAGGTGTAGAAAGAGTAACAAAGTGAGTGAAATGGAAGAATACTATGTGTTCTAAAAATGAGATGTTTGAATCTGTGTATTAGAAGATAAGTATTTGCAGGTAATTTCAAGGTCTACAGTGTTGTCATAGGTATTGGTGGCCAAATGAGTATGTGAGTATAATCACTGAAGATAAAAATGTAAAGTCACCAAAAGGCAATAGTGACCAATAGGACATTATCAGGTAGATTTTTGTATTTATGTATCCATGATAATGGACTGAATTTCATCTAAGTGCCAAATCATCAAGAAACTTGAAAGATTAACAGGGTCCCTCAGTTAAACAGTCATGAGAAAAACTAGTTTGCTCAGATTGAGTTTAAGATGGATTAGAAAGCAAAATAAGCAGGATATTTGTACAAGTTTAGAGGAAGCGTAAAAGCTCAAAGTAGCCCTGATATCAGAAATGTGTAAGACGGAAAATAAGAGTATAATCCGAATATGATATGCCAATTGAAGTATAAGATATTGGAGCTGAAAAGAAATTTTTATATCATTTTAATGCCTTCCTTAAAGCTAGTGAACAAATGATTAAACCATTTGTATATGTATTTTTGCCTGCATACATTTGAGGGGTAAAATGTTACTAGCTCACAATGACATCATAGTGTGTTATTTCTCATAAAAATGTACGGGGCATCTTTTAAACGATGAAACATATGTTAGCACAGCTGCCTCTAAGATTAAACAAAATACAATATATCATTTTATACCTGTGAATGCAGACAAATATAAAAAATGATGATGATTAAGATGTATTATGCCTATTTTCTTTGAAAAGTAAAATGCCTTAATATGAAGTTGGAGTGGAATATTAAAAGAAACTTAAATTTTAAAGCATCCAACAATATTCACCTCCAAAACAGTATCCTGTTAAAATATTAGTTCAAATTATCTTTAAAGTGTTTAATTAAACAGAAAGGGAATATACATACCTGTGTAACTCTTAAGGTGTTAGTATTTTCTTTCGCTTACTTAAACATATACTTTGTGAAAAATGACCAATAGGAAAAAAGAACAAAACAATAATTAATTTTATATTGTGTGTGTGTGTGTGTGTGTGTGTGTGTGTGTGTGTGTGTAACTTAAAGTCTCACTTGGATTGAAGTTTAAAGCTTAGGCTTGAAAAGTAACTTTTCATCAAGGTTATAAGATACATTAACATGTAGTGAAAATTACCAAAAGGCATTTTGTTATACACTGCCTATTTTTCCCACGGAAAAAAAATACAAAGACCTTGTGTGGATTCCAAAAGACATGAATTTTCTTACCAGAGAAATTTAATGCAATGAGATGATATTATTTCAACTTAAATGCAAATAATAACCACAGAGAAAGCCACAGGATTTTTTAGTGTTGATATATACACTTTAATTCAGAATGTCAAAGAACATCAACAATATTTTCATATAATTTAGGTAGACAGTTAAATATAATAATTTTGGATCAAAAATATATTAAAAATAAAAATTAAAATATAAACTGTAGAAAAAGATATACACAGAGATACAAAAGAAAATAAACGTGAAAAAGAACAAAAGGAGAGGAGAAAGGAAAAACAAAATTACATGAACCATCCAATTGGTAATTTGGTTATTAAGAAGCCAGAAATTGCTTTGTGAGGGCATACAAATTGTGACACCTGATACTCCTGCAGGCAAAGAGGGTTGGGAGATTGCCATCATGTATTGAAAACTATTCCTTTCTCCCCAAGGAATTACAGTGGCACCTTTGTCATAAATTAAATAATCTAATATATGTCAATGTATTTCTGGACTACTCTTCTGTTCCATAACCTATCTGTTCCAACAAATACAAAGATTTGTCCATGCTTGTACCAATAACAGACAATTAGTTACTGTTACTATAGAATAGGTATTCAAATTTGGTAAGATCCTCCAAAGTTATTATTCTTAAGAAAATTTTGACTATGACTTGTCTTTGCAGTTCCATATATAGTTTTGATTTAGCATGTTAATTTACACACACATGAACACATACATACAAATGCACGAAAACTTCTGAGAGTTTCATCGGGATTGCCTGGAATCTATGGATCACTTTGGAAGATTTTACATTAAAATATTGAGTTTTCTGGTACATTAAAATGTCAGCAATGTTTTGTAGTTCTGAATGTCTTGTCAACCTTTCATTAGATTAATTCCTAGAATTTCAGGATCTCAGAGCTGATAACCTTTCAAAAACTACTCCTCTCTTCTAGTTATATGTATATATATGCATATATATGTATCCTTTTGGATTTTCTATGTATCCAACCATGTAACCTTTAAATGGAGTAGGTGTTACTTCATTTTTTCCTATATTCACACTCTGTGTGATGATAGATTTATATATCTATTTATTATATATCATATATAACATTATTCATTATTAAATATTGTGATTTAATTGAGGTTATATCATGTATTTAGGTCAATTCATCTAAAATTTCAAATAATCTCAAAGTTGTTTATAATATCTATTTAATACTCTTTTTTTGTCTGTAAGGTCTGTTGTAAAGTCTATTTTTTTCATTCTTAATGTTGGTACTCCGTTTCTTTTTTATTTTTCTCAATAAATTTTGCTAATAATTCATCAATTTTACAAACAGTAAAAATGTAATCCCTTTCATGGAACCTACTTTTGATTTTGATTTCCTCTACCGTATGTTTGTTTTATTTTAAATCTGTCATAAATGTATGTTTATATATTTACTTCTGTTTTATAACCAAGTTTAAAATCCCATCATGATTAAGTATCTTTTTTTACACATTGTTATATTTGATTTGCTAAAGTTTTGCCAAGAATTTTTGCATACCTGTGCATGAGAAGTATTGCTCTCTGTTTATCTTTTCTGATGACTTCTTACTGGTGTTGGTATCAACATGAGGCTATTCTTACAAAATGAGTTGGGAAATGTTCTCTTCTCGTCTATTTTCTTAAAGAGCATATGTAGGTTTGATATTAATAGTTTTTAAATAATATGATTCAAAAGAAGCATCTCATCTTTGAGTCTCTTTTTAAAAATATTTTAATTCTGATTTTTCTTTTTTACTGATATTGCACTGTTCAGATTTTCTGTTTCTTCTTGTGCCAGTTGTGGTGACTTACGCCTTTCAAGAATGTGTCCATTTCATCTGATACCAGTTTGTCAAGGGCTGCCGTAACCATGTATCCCAAGTTGAATAGTTTAGATAACGGAAATGTATTGCCTTACAGTTCTGGGGCCTACAAGTCTAAAATCAAGATGCTGGCAGTGATGGTTCCTTCTGAGGGTTGTATGAAAATGATCTTTTCCAAGGCTCTCTCTTTGGTTTATAGATGACCACAGCTTGTACTTGAACTTCTCCCTGCATCTTTCCATCATCCTTCCTTCATATGTGTCTCCCTTCACATGAGCTTCCTTTTACAAGGACACAAGTCATATTGGAATAAGGACCCACCATATTCCAGAAGAGCTTCATGTTAAGTAATTATATATACAATGACCCTATTTTCAAATAAGTTGACATTTTCAGGTACCAAATGTTAGGACATCGACATGAAGTTTGGCAGACACAATTTAACCCATGGCATCATCCAAACTTTTATTTATTGATATAAAAGTATTCATAATATTATCTTATTATACTAATGTCTGCAGGATCTGTAGAGATGCCCCCTCTTTTGTCTCTGAAATGTGTAATTTGTGTCTTTTTCCTCTCTTCCTCTTTTTCCCCCTTCCTCAGTTTAGCTAGATTTTGAAATTTGAGTTTTGTTTATTCATAGCCACTCTTAAAATCACTTAAAAACCTCTTTGTTAATTTCCACATGGCAGAATATATTTTTTAAGAATGAGAAAATAAATGTTTATAAATGAATCAATTTCTTTGTTACTCAAATATTTTTGCTGAGAGAATTGTGCTGAGCATATCCTCTTCCAAGGGCTGATGAAAGTTCCCTTAAGCAATTTAAATAATTTGTTTGTTTAATCTAAAGACATTAACAATGCCTTAAAAGTAAAAAAAAATAAATAAATAAACCGTCTGTTTCAATCAGTTTGGACTGGTATAACAAAGGTACCATAATCTGGGTGGCTTATAAACAAGATACATTTATTCCTGGAAGTACTGGAGGCTGGAAGTCTGAGATGAGTTGCCAGTATGGTCAGGTTCTGGTAAGTGTCTTCCTCTGGGTTACAGACAGCTATCTTCCTGAATCTTCACATGGCAGAAAGAGGGCAAGCTAGAGCTCTGGCTTGCTTTTTGTTTGTTTTTATTTTTATTTTTTTTTTACAGATAGAGTCTCCCAGTGTTGGCTAGGCTGGTCTCAAACTCCTGGACTCAAGTGATCTTCCTCCCTCCTTTTTAAAGAGAAAGTAATCCCATCCATAAGGACTCCACCCTCATTACCTAATTACCTCTCAAAGGCCTCACCTCCAAATACCATCTATTGGGATTAGATTTCAACATATGAAATGTATGAAGACATAAATTTCAGTCCACAAAAATCTCAGGTGCAAATATAATTTCTATGTGCAATGACTGAATGTGTGGTTAAATAGAATATTTTAAAAATATAAATTTTTAACGAAGATATTTTAAATAGTTTACTCATCATATAGTAGCCTGATTTCAAAGGGACTTTTCTCTCAAACTCATATTGTATGAGTACACATAAGATGCTCCTGATGTGGGCCTTCTTGGATACGTGTTTGAGTCTATCATATTCCTCAGGCTTGTAATTCACACCATTTACAGTTATACAATTTAGAAATCACTTAGATTTTCAGTTTCTTTTGATATTCTGAGTTTAAGTGCACTAAAATGAAAACTGACAAAAATTTCATGAAGGCTTGTCAAAAGTGTTTTACTTGATTTCAATCAAGTTAATATTTTCTATTTATAAATGAATTAGTGTAAATACACACTGAATTAGATTAAATTTAGAAATACGCTACTGAATCTAAGTACAGAAAGTTAGACTACATTTCTAAAAATACTAAAGTTAACTGGTTATTAACCATAATTTATTCTCAGTTTTATAGCTTTTAGATATTCATTTATATACAACAAAATAATGAGACATTTTAAAACTAATGAAATTGTGTTAATATTTTCTGAGCTTTATCATGATTAGATGTGGGTTACAGGATTTGAGGGAGGTTCACATAGGTAAGCTGCTATTTTCACCACATTCTAATAAGGATGCATACTACTGTCTGTGTCATTGGGGACTATGAATGTTGAGCTAGCTCACATGGCTGAAGTGATTTTTGTCAAGTTTCTCCAGAGTGATGTTGCACATTTTTTTCTCCCTTTTGCAAACTGTACTTTTAGGAAGAAGTCACAATACACAGCCCACATTCAAAATGTGAGGAAATATGCTTTCTCTATTTTAAAATAAAAGATCTACACAATTTCTTGGAAACTCTTCTGTATGAGAGATTTATCTCTGCTCCCTTAATTTATTAAAATTAATGTGGACTCATAAGTATTTCCTTAAAATTTTGTATTATAATTATATCATGCCAAATAGATAATCATGTCATCTTTGAACATGGTTTTATTTCTTCCTTGCTAATCCGTATTCCTTTATTTCCTTACTATACTAGGTAGAAGTTCCAGTAGAATGTTAAAAAGAAACAGTGGGAGGAAATATTATTGCCTTATTCACAGTCTTAAGGAAAGCAACCAATTTCTAACTATTAAGTATAAAAGTCTGCAGGATTTTTTACAGATTTCCTTAGTTATGTCAAGAATCTTTCCTTCTATTCCTAATTTTGCTGAGTTTTTATCATGAAGGGCTAATGGATGTTGTTAAATTTTTTGTTTCCATCAATTAAGATGATCATATGATTTTTCTTCTTTAGCCTATTGATGTGACAGACTAATTGGTTTTTGAATGTTGAAACAGACTTGCATACTTGGGAATAATTCTCCTAGGTCTTGGTATATAATTCTTTTAATATATAGTTCGCTTAAATTTGCTAATATTTTATTGAAGATTTTTGTATATATGTTTATGAAAGATAATGGTTTCTAATTTTTCTTTCAGTGTTTTTATCTAATATTTATATTAGGGTAATGGTGACATAATAGAATTAGTTAGGAAGTATTCTAAAATTACTATATTTGTAATGGTTTTGTATTCATTTCTACATTTTTTCCTTTTTGTACCTTCTCATATTCTTCATTATATATTTAAATTGAATATTTTATGATTCCATTTTCTCTCCACTCTTAGTATATCAATTATATTTTTTACATATTTTAGTTGTTAATTTAAAGTTTACTATATACACTTAAAACGAATCTATGTCCACTGTCAAACAACACTGTACTGCTTCCTAGGTAGGACAGGGACTTTATGAGAGAATATTCTCAATTCCTGCCTCTCACTACTTACAATGTTGTTTTTATTCCATAAGCTATAGTCACATAATACACTGTCGTGTACAACATTTCTTATAAGGCAGTTCTGCTGAAAATAAACTGTTTGTTTTTGTTTGCCAGGGAAAGTCTGTATTAGTCTGCTTTGGCTGCCATACAAAATATCATTGACTGAGTGGCTTAATAATAGGAATCAACTTCTCAAAGTTATGGAGGCTGGAAGTCAAATATCAAGGTGGTAGCAAAGTCACTGTCTGCTTGGAGTTCCCCTTTTGGTTTGCAGATGGCTCCCTTCTCACCGTGTCCTCACATGGCCTTTCCTAGTCCTGTTTAGGAGGAGGCAGAAAGACAGAAAGAAACAGGTTGAAGCTAAGCTTTCTGTTATCTCTTCTTATGAGAGCACTGATTTTCTAATGAAGTCCCTACCCTCATGAACTCATCTCAACCTAATTACATCCTAGTAGCCCCATGTCTAAATACCTTAACTTTGGGTGTTAGGGCTGCAACATATGAATTTGAGGGAGGGCAGGGTGGGCCCAATTCAGTCCAAAGCAAAATCTTTATTTCTTTTTTACTGTTGAAAGATAATTTCACCAGATTCAGTATTCCAGTTTCATGGGGTTTTTCCTTCAATGCTTTAAATGTTTCACTCTATTATCTTCTTGCTTGCATGGTTTCTGACAAGAAATTCACTATAATTTTTATTCTCATTTCTTTATAGGTAACATTTTCATACTCTGGTATTTTTCAAGGTTTGCTTTTTGACTTTGTTTTTCTACAGATTGAATATGCTATTTACATATTTAGATTTTTTTTCAAAATTATCCTGCTTCATTTTCTCAGTGCTTCCTGGACTTGTTGTTTGGTCTTTGTCATTAATTTTGAAAAAAAACTCTTAACTGTTATTACATCGAATATTTTTTCTGCTTTATTTTCTCTTTCTCTTTGGTTTCAGATTATGCATATATTACACCTTTTGTAATTGTCCCACACATCTTGGATGTTCTCTTTCATTTTTTTTTACAACTATACTTTTTCTTTGCATTTATGTTTGAGAAGTTTCCATTGTCATTTTCAAGCCTACTGATTCTTTCCTTAGGCACAATTCAATGTGTTATTCCATCAAAAGCAGATTTTCCTTTTTTTTTTTTTTTAGCATGTTAAGATTCTTTCTTAGAGTTGCACTCTTTCTGAAGAGTTGATCTATTCTTCCACGTTCATCAATTTTTCATTTGATTTCTTAGCATATTATACATAGATACTTTAAATTACCGCTGTGGTGATTCCAAAATTTGTGTCATATCTGAGTCTGGTTCTGTTGGTTGCTCTAACACTCCAGAGGTGTTTTGTTGCTGGCATTTTCTGTTGTGTATGTGTGTGTTTGCCTTTTAGCATGCCTTGTAATTTTTGGTTCAAAGTCAGACATGATGTATCTGATAACAGAAACTAAGAAAAATGGGTCTTTGTTGTGAGAGATTATGGAGATCTTCCTAGAAGGTAACTTGTGATTATAGTTTTCTAGAGCTGTTGCTGCCTGAGACATTAATACTCTCAGGTGTTGTTTTTTGTTCCCCCTGTGGTCTTTAGGTTTTACTAGAAACAAAACTTCCTGATGTATAGTCTGACACTTGCAATTCTTTCAGCTGTAATCCTCTGTTTTATACAGTAGCATTATTGGTATTGTGGTGAAAGGTGAGGAAAAAGAAAATGCTCTATAATCCTTTTATTAGGTCCAGATATTTTCAGTGGGTCTGTGTGTCTGAGCCGTTACCTTCATAAATGCTTTTTTGATCTCCTTGTCTGAAACTCAGTTGATACAGGAAGTTGATCTGGGAAGGGTAGAGCGGCCTCAACTTAGGTACTTCCTTTTTCCCACAATAGTTAGGCTTGGGTATTTTCCCTTGAGGGCAGTTGGAGAACACAAAGTTCGGTGTGTATTTCAAAATTGCCATCTTTTCTCTCTCTGCATTGGAAGCATAATGGGATTTCTTCACCAATCTTCAGCACAAAAATCTGGTGGGGTTCCTGGAGGTAAAATTTATGAAAATTTGGGGCTCCCTCTAACACTAAGTCTCCTGGAGTTTTTAACTCTCAAGCTAGAACACACTAAGCATTCAAATTGTATCAGAGTTTAAGTGTTTCTACCAGTAGTGGCTCCAGGAGTAGATTTCTGCTCCTGGGTTTCTATTTCGAGTAAGCTGTGATTCTCGGTATCTGCCTTTCTCTTCAGTTTTCAGGACAGTGGTTTATTATTTCTCTTCAATTTTCAGAAGAATCTAAGAAGAGTTGTTGGTTTTCAGTGTGTTCAGCTTTTTTCTTGTTATGAAAATAAAAACAGCAGATTCCAAGCTCTTTATATCTCAAAGTAGAAACTAGAATTCTCTAATATTTGTATTGAATTACTTATAAAATGCAAAGAAACCACCAAAAAGTTCTAGAATGCTTTATTTCTAAATGCAATCTAGTGACATTTCCCTCTTTATGTAACGTTTGTATTTCTAAATGTATGGTGATAACTGTACTCCCTGAAATTAGATTTCTGCAATTAGCACCTTAATTTGCCTTGCTTTGAAATGTGGATCTGGGAATTAGCACCTTCCAGATGCAGACTTTCTGGATTATATTAAAGATCAAAGACACAAACATACGGGAAAAAGTTAATGTGAGACAACTATGTGGGATACACTTTTTTATTGTAGTTTTTCTTTAAAAATTTTGTTTCTAATGCCTTACTTTAGGAAAATAAAATTCACTGATATAAAGTATGGATTTAATAATGCTTTAATGATGAAAATAAATGATACTTGCAAATAAACAGAATAAAATGTTAAGATCAATTCAAAAAGATATTTTAGATGTCATGAAAACTGATATGACTTCATTTTAAGCCTAAATTCTCTTATTTTTCATTTCATATTTTCACTATCATCTTATCTTTACATGTTATTTATCAAGAATAGAATTACAAATAGAGATAAAGCATATGGTTTTCTTGAAATCCTTAGTTTGTTAGAGCATCAGTCTATTCATCTTTATCACTACCTGTTTATCTTTAAAAAAATCTGTTTCTTTATCTGTTGGTAATTGCTAATAAACCTTATTAATATACAAAAAGTATTTTGAGGAATTATCCAAATTGTTATATGTTAAAACAAGTTTATAAAGTTGCATACTATAAGGAATCCCAAGGGTTTCAGGTAGAATGGAATTATTTTATTTCTGTTATTAATATAATAATTAAGTCTTAAACAGATGAGTACATAGGTGCTTCCAGTTTTCAAACCCCATAGAATTGATCATTTAAGATCTATGCATTTTATTTTATTAGACCTAAATTTTAAAAAATGGCAAAATGCAAAAGTGATGGCATTTACAAGTTTATTTTAGTTATAATTTACACTATTCGTTTGAATATATATTTGTATTGGTACTTTTTTCAGGATATATAGAAGCCTAATCATATGTAAAGACTGACAAATAATCTTGGGAATATATACAACTTTTGTTACTTTAGGCTGCTTTTATCTATCAATGTTAATGGGCTATATTTTTGTTTTTCAGATAATAAAGGCTACTATAAGCTTTATAGATTCAACATGCTTACTCTCAGCATCACCCAGGATGATCTTGTACAGTACAAATCAGAAAATGGGATATTAAGGTAAGAATTTCTCAAAATTTGGATAGAACCAGATTGAAATGGCTTATTTGATCTATGAGCTTATAGATTATATTGTATGTGCATAAAATCTATTGCCCAGAGAAGAAACAAAATATATGAAATACAATTGGGCAGGCTTACGAGGCTTATTTTGTTCCTATTAGTCACCTAAGAACAGAGCATTTAAGAACAATATATTTTGCCATAGTATTGCCACTTTTAACAAAGTATATCAAAGGATTCTTTTCATAGTCATGGAAAACTCTAAATCTAAATTTCACTAAAAAGTTAAAAAGTCCCACACCAGATTCTACTTACTTACACAACTATAAATTACAAGATCTTCCATCTAAGTCCATACTTTATATTATATGACAGCCACTTTTGATATGCAATACCTTCTTAAATTTCTTCCTCTGTGTTGCTTGGGTAGCCACACAGCAACAAATTTCAGCATGTTTTTTTGGTTCATGTATTGCTTCCAGGTATTTTAGTTGATGCTTTCACAAATACAGTTATGCCTCAGTGACTTGCCAAGCAATACTACAATGCACAATAGTACACTAGTTTCAGTGTTAAAAGGCAAAGCTGTTACAATGGTAAGTTTTCATGGCAAGAAAAAATTCTAACCACCTGTGCAAGAAAGGGTTAATTCACCAGGCGGATTTTACTGTTATCTCTGTTATATAAATGCTATATTAAATGTAGACGCTCAGAAACATATGATCATTTTGCTGGAAAACAGCCAAGGACAAGAGCCAGAAGGATAGGCTGTGCAGGAAAGGGCAGACCTGGGTTTCTCCAATACTGCAAATTCCTAAGAAAAGCTTGTATTTCGCACTGATCCTTAAGATGGCTGAGCCTGTAGAATATTCTGCCTGTTAAGAGTGTTTTCATATTTCTGAAGACTTAGGCTGTGCTATACTATTTTGACCAGAGAGTTTATGCTAAATATACAATTAATGGTGAATATATTTTCTAAACCTGATCATACAGTGACCAGTATAACAAAACAGTTTATGCTAACAAATGTGATTTATGGCGAATGCCTGTTTTTACCCTAGATAAAGGTAAAGGGTTTTTTTTTTGTTTGTTTTTTGTTGTTTTTTTTTCTTCCCCTGGATAAAGGGGTTCTGGGGTCTGAGTAACTAAGGCCAGTCATGCAGACACTCCATGTTTATATGACTGACAGTAAAAGCCTGGACATCAAGACTTAGTGAAATTCCATGGTTGGCAACACTTTGTGTATGTTTTCACATAGCATTCCTGGGAGAATCAGGTCTTCCCTTGTATGCCTCCACTGAATGGGGATACCTAGAAGTTTGTGCTGCTTTGACCCGAACTTCTCTCCATATGCCTTTTTTTCTTTGCTTATTCTAATTTGTATCTTTGTGGTGTCATAAATGATAACCTTAAGTGTAACAGTATCTGAGTCCTGTGAATCCTTCTAGCTCATAGAATCTAAAGCAGTCTTAAGGGCCTCTGACACAACACTGTTTCCCATGAGATAAATAAGAATTTAGAAGACATATATTCAACAGCTTAAAGGCATAGTAATTTTGCTAGAAACTTTTATCTGTTACAGAAAGCTATACAATGGCAACTAAAGAGGTTATCCAGGCAATTGCAATTAAAAAAAAGTCTCGATAGAGGCTTTCTTTTCTTTCTTTCTTTCTTTCTTTCTTTCTTTCTTTCTTTCTTTCTTTCTTTCTTTGTCTTTCTTTTTTTAACCATACTTTCTAAAACCTGATTTGTTTATTAGGTCTCACCACTTAGATAAGGAGATATTTTTTAGTTCATAGCATGGAGGATTTTTCTATGAATTCCTGAGGAAAGTTGTTACTCATTAAAATGAAGATCTGTATCCATTTTCAAAACATGAAAATATTGCTAAATGTTAACTATGCTATTTTGTTCATCATAGATCTGGAAATGCTATCTCCAGAATGCTATTGAATTTACATAGTATTTATATATGCGATAGCAAAAATACTAAAGAAATTTCTTGTGCTAGTCTAGAATCTAGTTTCACTCAGTTTTGAGAATATATCTAATCCAAACATAAAATTTGTATTTTTACACTACCTTTAATGAAAAAGCATTGAGATCCTTCTTCATTAGCTTGAATCTCCTGTACCTTGAATATTGTGTTATGTTTATAACAGCACTGTGTTTGTAGGGATAACCATTTGTAATTCTAACTTAATCTGTATTGAAAAGTCATTAAGAAGTATAAAGCTCTTCATATTTGGCACAATAAATGTAGCCATGAGGATGAAGACATGAAAAAGTGATTTATTTATTTGTGAAATACAGGCTTATCCATATCTACCACATACCTAATCTCGCTTAAACCATGTAGGGTCTATGATGCTAAATATTCACACTACTTACCAAGCATGCTGAAATAAATCGTGGGTGATCTCCATGTCATAGCTAATATCAAGGATATTTTGGCATTAATTTCCAATGTATGGAATTTTTATTCTAACATTTTTTAGATATTTAGCAAATATTTTAGAATAAATTAATAGAAACACAGCTGTTTCTCAATTACAATTGCCACTATATCTCTGACAGCTGAATGACTTTGAATTTTATTTTGAGTAGTAAAAGATGCATAAATTTCTTTCCTAGAGGAGAATGCAATATTTAAAGTTCATTACAAATTATTTAGCCAGTCATCTGAGAAAGAAAACCTGCCAAATTCCATGAGACAATGAGTTGGAAATGATAGTTGTGGACAGGTAGTTCATTATGAAGAATAAGAATAAAAAACATGCAATTACTGGGAATAATGGTTTTCTTCTATATGGCTGAATGCTGAAATGATTCTGTTTTCGCTGTGTGCAAGAGAGTTTATTTCAAACAAGCTAACTAACATTGGACAGAGCTTTTGTTTAGAAAGTTGAGAAGCTATTCAGGAAAGAAGAAGATAATAAAACTCATATAAGTTGAAACTGAAACTTGAGTATGTCATACTGAAACACATACCACGTACCTTCCTACATGTACACACACACACACACACACACACAGAGAGAGAGAGAGAGAGAGAAAGAGAGACAGAGAAATACATAATCAAAAAATATTAAAAAAGAAATTTGTACATATTGCTGATTATAAAAATATCGTTTTTCTACCTAAGAAGAAAAATGACTTTGTTAGATTTAAAGAAAATTATGCTGAAAATTCTGAGAAGGCTGTAATGTAGGAAGCATTAAGAATCTGTCTCTTTGCCTGGTGTGGTGGTTTACACCTGTAATCCCAGCACTTTGGGAGGCCAGGGAGGTTGGATCACCTGAGGTCAGGAGCTTGGGACCAGCCTGCTCAACATGGGGAAACCCCATCTCTACTAAAAATAAAAAAATTAGCCAGGCGTGATGGAGCACGCCTGTAGTCCCAGCTACTCGGGAGGCGGAGTCAGGAGAATTGCTGCTTGAACCCAGGAGGCAGAAGTTGCAGTGAGCCAAGATCGTGCCACTGCACTCCAGCCTGAGTAATAGAGTAAGACTCTGTCTCAAAAAAAAAAAAAAAAAAAAAAAAAAAAAGAAATGAGATCCTGTGGCTTATTAACCGTCATGAGAATAGTATGGGAAAGACCCACCCCCATGATTCAATTACCTCCCACCGGCTTCCTCCCACAACACATGGCAATTCATGATACAATTTAGGTTGAGAAACAGCCAAACTATATCATTCCACCTCTGGTCCCTCCCAAATCTCATGTCTTCACATTTAAAAAATAATCATGCCTTCCCAACAGTCCCCCAAAGTCTTAACTCATTTCAGAGATCTCAGAAGTTCACAGTCCAAAGTCTCATCTGAGACAAGGCAAGTCCCTCCTGCCTATGAGCCTGTAAAATCAAAAGCAAGTTAACTACTTCCTAGATACAATAACGGCAAAAAGCGTTAGGTAAATACAGCCATTCCAAATAGGATAAATGGTCCAAAACAAAGGGGCTACAGGCCCCGTGCAAGTCCAAAATCCATTGGGGCAGTCAAATATTAAAGCTCCAAAATCATCTCCTTTGACCTCATGTATCATCCGGGTGATGCTGATGCAAGAGATGGGTTCCATATGGTCTTAGGCAGCTCTGCACTTGTGGCTTTGCAGGGTACAGCCTCCCTACGGGCTGCTTTCAATGGGCTGGCATTGAGCATCTGCACCTTTTCCAGGCAAATGGTGCAAGCTCTTGGTTGATCTACCATTCTAGGGTCTGGAGGACAGATGGTGGCCCTATTCTCACAGCACCACTAGGTGATTCCCTAGTAGGAACTCTGTGGGAGGGCTCTGACCCCACATTTTCATTTTTGCACTGCTCTAGCAGAGGTTCTCCATGAGCGCCATGTCCCTACAGTAAACTTCTGTGTGGACATCCAGGAATTTCCATACATCCTCTGAAATGTAGGCTGAGGTTCCCAAACCTCAATTCTTGACTTTTGTGCACCCACAGGCTCAACACCATGTGGAAGCTGCCAAGGCATGGGGCTTGCATGCTCTGAAGCCACACCCGAGCTGTTCTTGACCCCTTTTAGTCATGGCAGGAGTGACTGGGACACTGGGCACCAATTCCTAGACTGCACAAAGAAGAGGGACCCTGAGACGGGCCCACAAACCATTTTGTTTTTCCTAGCCCTTTGGGTCTGTGGTGGGAGGGGCTGCTACAAGAATCTCTGACATGCCCTGAAGATATTTTCCCCATTTTCTTGGGGATTAACATTCAGCTTCTCATTACTTATGCAAATTTATGCAGCCAGCTTGAATTTCTCCTCAGAAAATCAGTTTTTGTCTATCACATTGTCAGGCTGGAAATTTTCAGAACTTTTATGATCTGCTTCCCCTTTAAAACTGAATGGCTTTAACAGCACCCAAGTCAACCCTTGAATGCTTTGTTTAGAAATTTCTTCTGCCAGATACGCTAAATCAACTCTCTCAAGTTCAAAGTTCCACAAATCTCTAGAGCAGGGATAAAATGCTGCCCGTCTCTTTGCTAAAACATAACAAGGGTCACCTTTGCTCCAGTTCCCAACAAGTTCCTCATCTTCATCTGAGAACACCTCAGCCTGGATTTCATTGTTCCTATCATTACCAGCATTTTGGTCAAAGCCATTCAACAAGTCTCCAGGGAGTTCCAAACTTTCCCACGTTTTTCTGTCTCCTTCCGAGCCCTCTGAACTGTTCCACCCTCTGCCTGTTACCCAGTTCCAAAGTCACTTCCATGTTTTCAGTTTTCTTTACAGCAGTGCTCCACTCTACTGGTACCAATTTACTGTATTAGTCTGTTCTCACGCTGCTGATAAAGTCATACCTGAGACAGGGTAATTTATAAGGAAAAAGAGGTTTAATGGACTCACAGTTCCGCAGGGCTGGGGAGGCCTCACAATCATGGCAGAAGGCAAGGAGGAGTAAGTCAGGTCTTACGTGGATGGTGGCAGGCAAAGAGAGAGCTCTCTGCAGGGAAACTTCCCCTTATAAAATCGTCAGTTCTCATGAGACTTATTCACTATCACGCGAACAGCATGGGAAAGACCAGCCCCGAGGATTCAATTACCTCACAGCTATTCCCTCCAACAACATGTGGGAATTTAAGATGAGATTTTGGTGGGGATAGGGCCAAACCATATGACCTTTCAATGTTCAATATCAACTAAGCACAAATAAATATAGTAATGTAGGAAACGAGGGACAAAAAAGCTATAAGGCATATAGAAAGTAAATAGTAAAATGAGACATATGACTCCCTCCTTATTAGTAATAACTTTAAATATAAATGAATTAAACTCTTCAATCAAAAAACAGAGTAAAAAATAGAAGTTTTGACTTATGATGTATACAAAAGACTCATTTTAGATCTAAAGACACAAATTGATTGAAAATAAAAGGAGGGAGAAGGATATTCCATGCAAATAGTTACAAAAAGAGAACAAGGATGGCTATACTAATGTGAGAAAAAAAATACTTTAAACCAAAACAGTTAACAAGAGACAAATAAAGACATTATGTCTTGATAAAAGGTTAAATACAGCAAGATAAAATATCAATTATAAACTTATATGCACCTAATAGCAGACCATGAAAATGTATGTAGCAATAACTGACTGAATTGAGGACAGAAATAGATAGTTCTACAGTAATAATAGGAGACTTTAATATCCCACCCTCAATATTGTATAGAATAACCAGGCAGAAAATTCATAAGGAAATAGAAGAGTTAAACAGCATAATAAGCCAAATAGATCTAACAGACACTTAAATAACCCCGTAGCCAACACCAATATAATACACATTTTTCTCAAGTGTACATGGAACATTTTCCAGGACAGACCACAATTTAGGCCACAAATTAAGTCCCAATTGATTTAAAAATATATATAATTATACAAATTATCCTCTCTAACCACAACAGAAGAATATACTTAGAAATAAAAAATATAAGGGAAAATGAAAAATTTATAAATATTTAGAAATTATTTTAAAAATATACAAACAAAATATTAAAGGAAAACCACAAGAGAAATTAGAAAATACTTCAGAGATAATTAAACTTAAAAACATAACATACTAAAACTTATGGGACATGGCAAAATCAGTGCCAAGTGGGAAATTTACAGCTTTTAATTCTTATATTAAAAAAAAAGAGAGAGAGATCACAAATCAGCAATGTAACTTTACAGTTTAACAAAATAGTAAAAGCAAAACAATTAAATCCACAGTTACGAAAAGTAAAGATAATAAAAGAACTGAGTAGAGGCAAATTAAATAGAGAGTAGAAAAAAATAGAGAAAATCAATGAAACCCAGAGATAATTCTTTGAAAAGTTCAACAAAACAGACAAATCATTACCCAGATGGACTAAAAAGAGACAGAAGAATCAAGTTACAGAAAATAAAAAAATAGAAGACTTAAAGTCAGAAATGAAAGAGGGAAGACTAATACTTATTCCATAAAGCTAAAAAGGATCAAAAGAGAGTGCTATGAACAATTGTATGCCAAAAAACTGGATAACCTACATAAAGTGAATAAATTCCCAGGACACAAATCTTATCAAGACTAAATCATGAAGAAATAAAAAGAAAATGAATAAAACTAAAAAAAGTAAGGAGAATGAATTAGCAATTTAAAATTTTCTGACAAAGCAAAGCCCTGGACCTGATGTAATCACTGGTGAAGTCTACAAAATACTTAAACAAGAACATAATATTTTCTCAAAATGTTCCAAAACATTGAAGAGGAGGGAACATGTCTTAATTCATCCTATGAGGCTAGCATTATTGTGATACCAAATACACTAAAGAAAAAAAAATCAATGTTTTTTATAAATATTTATGTAAAACTTCTCAACAAAATACTATTAAACTGAATTTAGCACCATATTAAAAGTATTATATACCATGACAATATGGGATTTATTTCCAGAATGCAAGAATGGTTAAATACACAAAAGTTGATCAATGTAATATACCATATTAACAGAATTTTGAAAATGCACATTATACTCTAAATTGTTGCAGAGAAAGTATTTGACAAAATTTAACACCCTTACATAGGACAAACATTCAATAAAGTAGAAGCAGAACTACCTCAACATAATAAAAGTCACATACAAAAATCTCACAATGAACATTCTACTAAGTAATGAAAGATTGAAAGTGTTTCTTCTAAGATTAGGAATTAGGCAAGTATGCTCATTTTTGCCACTTCCATTCAACACAACACTGGAAATTCTAGCTGGAGCATTTATACAAGTAAAAGAAATAAAGTCATCCAAATTGGAAAGAATGAAGTAAAATTATCTATTTTCATAGGTTATATTATCTAATATATAAAAAACTCTAAGTGTTACACACACACAAACACAAACACATACATATGCGGTTAGAAATAATACATAAACTCAGCAAAGTAGCGGAACGCAAAGTCAACACACACACACACACACACACACACAAATTACACTTCTATGCACAAACAATAAACCTTGTGAGGAGACTAAGAAAAAAATACCATTGACAATAGCATAAAAAAATACTTAAGAATAAACTTAACCCAAGGAGGTGAAAAGCTTATAGATCAAAAACTTTGAAACATTGCTGAAATAAAGAGGACATAAATAAATGAAAACATATCTACTTTTCATGGACTGGAAGACTTAATATTGTTGTCAATATTACCCAAAGCAATCTATACATTTAATGCAATCCCTATTAAAATATCAATAACATTTTTTGTAGCAATAAAAAACCCTTACTAAAATCCACATAAAATCTCAGACACTCCAAAAACCAAAACATTCCTGAAAAAGAACAAACCTGGAAAACTCACACTTTCTAATTTCAAAACTTACTACAAACTACAGTAATCAAAGCGTTGTGGCATTGGCATAAAGACACATAGAACAATGAAATGCAATAAAGAATCAATAAATAAGCCCTCTCATATATTGTCAAGTAATTTTTTACAAAAGTTTCAAGACAGTTTAATGGAGAAAGACCACGTCTATCAGACAAATGTTGCTGGGAAAAGTAGACACCCATATGCCAAAAAACAAAACAAAACAACAACAAAAAACCTATTTGGGCCCTTACTGAACACTACATGTGTAACTTAACATAAATTGAATGAAAACTTAAATGTAAGACCTGAAACTACTAAAATCTGGTGGGAAAACATACAGTAAAAGCTTCGTGACATTGGATTTGGCAATAAAATTTTGGATATGACACCAAAGGCACTAAAAGAAAAGAAAAAAAAATAGACAAATTGGAGTTGATGAAACTTCTTTAAAAATGTAAATCAAAAGACACTATCCAAAGAGTAAAAAGGCAACCCACAGAATGGGAGAAAACATTTGCCAATTATATATCTGATAAGGAATTAATAGCCAGAATATATGGAGATCTATTAAATCACAACAACAACAAAAAAAGACCTAATTTAAAAAATAGGCAAAAGACTTGAAGTCATTTTTCTAAAAAAAAAAAATGTCTAATAAACACATGAAAATATGCTAAAAATCATGGATCATTAAGGAAATGCAATTGAAAGTATAAAGAGAAGCCACCCATTAGGATGACATATATATATATATATATATATATATATATATTAGGATGTATATATATACATATATTCTGCAATAAACCCAAATGTACAAATATCTCCTTAAGAACCTGGTTTCAATACTTTTGAGTGTATACACAGAAGTGAAATTGTTGGATCATATTTTAAGTTTTTTGAGGAACCACTATACTGTTTTTCACAGTTGCTGTACAATTTTATATTACCACTAACTGGTCACAAGGATTTCAATTACTACATAGCCACACCAACGCTCCAGTGACTTTTATTTTCTGGGATACATATATATATGTAATATAAAATCATACAGCAACTGTGAAAAACAGTATAGTCATTCCTCAAAAAACTTAAAATATGATTGTATTCAAAGTATTGAAACCAGGTTCTTAAGGAAATATTTGTACATTTGGGTTTATTGCAGAATTATTCACAATAGCTAAAAGGTGGGGCCAGTCCAAGAATCATTGACTGATAAATGGGTAAACAGAATGTGGCATACAGATACAATATTATTCATTGTATACAATATTATTAATTGTATGTATATACCACATTCTGTTTACCCATTCATTATTATACCCAATAATATTATTCAGCTTGAAAAAGAAAGGAAATTTTGACATGTGTTACAACATGAATAAACTGAGTATACTATGCTAAGTGAAGTAAGAAAGAAAAAAGACAAATATTATATGACTGCAATCATACAAGGTACTTGGAGTATGCAAAATCATAGAGTCAGAAAGCATAATGGTAGTTGCCAGTGGCTGAGGAAAAAATAAACTGTACAGTTATTGTTAATGGGTATGGAAATTCAGCTTTGCAAGATGAATAGAATTCTGGAGATGGATGGTGATGATTATTACACAACATTATGAATGTATTTTATACTACTGTACGGTATACTTAAAATGGTTTAGATGGTAAGTTTTACATTATGTGTTTTGTACCACAATAACAACAAAACCGGACCAAAGAAAATTATGGGCAAAATAGTTGTGAACATAGAGAAAGTAATCCCCATGGAAGTAATATTCCTCTTTTATTCAAATGCTGTTCTGTAAAAGCTTTTGTAATAATGCATTTCTTACAAGAAAACTAACTTTATGACCTGCTATAACTTTATTAGCTAACTAATCATACAGAGGTAAAGATTTCAAGTGATATTAGTGTACCCACTGCTGTTTATTTTATGTTTTATATTTTCTCTGTGTAATTATTTATATTTTTTTTGTAATTTAGTTGAGAGAATGAATAATTTATTTCCAAATTGTTGTACAATGGAGACTCTCTACAAATCTGAATAGTAACCTTTGCCTTAAAGTCTTGTGTAAATTTTTTTCAATATCAGTAAAACTTGTTGAGAGAATGTAGTAGTTATATAAAACATTTTATTTAATTTTATTTGTAGTAGTTGTTTATTTCAGTAATTTTCATACCACCAGTAGAAAATAAGTGCTGTCAGATACAATAGCCATCAGTTGAATTAAATAATTTAAAATATGACCTTTATGCTTTTTGTTCTTTTCTTTAGTCTTCCTTAAAGGATGTCTGCTTTGATATTCATAACATGACCTACTTTTCCTAGTTTTAACAAGAATAACACACTGAAGATCAATTTAGAGCAGAGAAATATTGCCACATTAAGAGTATAGTCAAATTTCTCGTGGAGTGAGAGTAAAACTTTACTTATAAGAGTCGCAGGGATTCCTGGAGAGTCACAGACAGAAATGACGATAACAAAATAATACAAAACAGTGGATTCCACAAAGTATGTGCATATATAGTAATATATTCAAAAGAAAAAAATTATCATTAAATTCAGAAACTTATAAATTATTTGTAATAAACTTGTAATAAATTTAATAAATAAATTTGAAATAAAAAGTATTCTTCTTTATGATATAATGATAAAGAGATGTAAAATTAGCTATTAGGCCTGTATTGTGCTGAATATTAGTGGAATAATCACAATTAAACAAACTGTGCTTACAAAAAATATACCAATGCTGTTGTTTCAAATATTTAATTATTAAGGAATTAAATTATTGAACAGGTAATGTCTTACCTGTTTCTAGATATACTGCAATGAAAGCAGAAGCAAGTTACAAATGCAGACTGTAAATGGACAATATTTAGACAATGTCAATGGCTGGAGTGTTTAGAAATCTTCATGAAAGTGGTGTGTAAATTGGTGCCATGAAAGATGTATGGAATTCCAGCAAGCAGATATAAGTAAAAGGAGCATTTTCACAATTATAGGTAGAGAGAGAAGTGTAAACAGAACCACCAAGATAAGTGTAATATGTATGAAGTTGGAAAAGTAAGTAGAGATAAGATTGTGAAAGGCCTAGAGCCATCTTTATCAGTCAAGGTTCAATTAGAAAAACAGAAATTTTAGTAATTATTAGTAATAAATATTTTAGTAATAGGCCTCACCAAGTTGCAGAAAAAAAGAAAAAACTGGGGTGGTAACAATCAAGAAGGATAACTTGGAAAATAATTGTAAAGTTAGTAACTGTTTCAGAAACACTGACGTTTAAAGTTAAAGTACATATGGTATGTTTTTCATGGTTTGTCCAACTGGGTAGTATTTGCAGATTAATGGTTATGAGTAACAAATTATGTGTATTTGTAACTTCTACATACAATATCATACAAACTGCTCCTTAAAATAATTACAAAGAACAATAATACCACAACACCTTCAACATTTCCAATTTTACCACTAACAACAGAATCCAGTTATTTGTACTTAAAGAAGATGTTAATGGAATTCAAACTCAAGACAGAAGTTTCAGGTGTGGGAATCAAACGAAAAAGAGTAATAAGGCAAGGCATTCAACACAGTATTTTTAAAGCTTAAATTTTACCCCCTTTAAAAAAAAAGCTTTGTTTTAGACCTAATACCAAAGTTAAAGTCAAGTTTTACCTATGTATTAAAAAGTTCTGACCAAGTATGATAGCATGTCTGTAATATTTTATCACCCTTCCTTTTTCCTCAGAGATTCTGAAACTCTACACAGTCTGTCACAGAGAATTCAGTAAGGTTCATTGTGGGGTATTGAATTCCATGTTCTATATAATTTTCAAATACTTCTCAAGGTGATTACAATACACATAGTTGCAATACATTTAATAATAGGTGTTTGACTTTTAATAATCATGTTTCCTAAAATATTGCTTATCTAATTACATTATTTATAAAAAAAAAAACTGTCAAGTTTTTGGGATATGTGTATGTCTTCATCCTAAACACAGACAGAAAATGCTTAGGCTATTACTGGAACAGGGATCTTGACATCCACTCAGCAAATGACCAGAGCTATATCACCAAACGTCAGTCAAATTCCTAATGAATGATTCATCTCCTTCCTCCATCTGTTCTGAATTTCCCCTGGCTTTCACTCTTTGGAAATCTTTACTCAGTAATTTCTGACCCATGAGAAAATAAAAATTATGCCATTTCTTTCCTGAAAGAAATTTTAAAAGTGGTTCTTGAACTATGTTCCACAAGTTCTTCATAGATCATTTGTATGTCTGACCCTTCAAATAATCTCAAATGTCTCCCCTTTTATCTTTTTTATATGCTGAGACTCCAGATAAAAAAAATCACATTTATAAAGGCTTTTAAATTTTCTTTAAATTACTCTATAAATTCAATACTTTCTGATAAATATTCCAGCAACAGATTTTTAAGGAACTTGCCAAGCTCAACCTAAAATTCACTTAGAAAGGCAAGTAAAAGTTGTAAGACATTTTTTAAGAAGAGCAAAAAGTAATTGTCTTCCCAAATATTAAAACAAGTTTAAAAATTGTAGTCATTGAAATGCCTTAATTTTGAAGCTGCAATGGGGAAATAGATCAATAAAATGAAAAAGGAATTCAAGAATGGAATTTTAGTGCATGATACATATGGCATCTCAATTGGATGGGAAAATAACAGTTTAAAATTACCCGATGTTGGGCGATCTGATTTTCTATTTAGAAAAAATATAAATCGTATATCCTATGTTATATGCTGTCATAAAAAGAATGCAAATAATAAACACTTAAACAACAAATATGTAAGAACACTGAAGAAAATTTAGTGAGTTACAGCAGAAAATAATTTTTCATAAATTTCTAACAGCAAATAAATGATACACTTGTCTAAATGAACATTTGTAACTTCTGTAATATTCAAAACATCATGAATGAAATTCAAACATAAGCAAGCCAACAGACAAATATAACCTAAAGGGAAATATTAAAATATGCAGACAATAAATTAACAGCCAAAATTTATATTACAAAATCAACAAATAAAGAAAAAATATTCCACAAGTAAATAAAAGTCTAGAAAAAAATGTATACATGGGGCGATAAGACACGTGAAAATATGTTCAACCTCCCTATCAATCAATTAAACCAACAGCAGGTGTAAGTCTTCATCCATTTAATGTATTGAACATACATCTTGGGCACATTTTCACTTTCCCTGCACCACCTCGTTCTTTCTCTCAGGACAATAAATGGTTATTGATGATTCTCAAAGGAAAATTTTTATCTTGCAGCCACTGGGATACCAAACTAAGCAAATCTTGGCTGAGTCTTTCAGCTTTCAGACTCAGAGAAAATGCTGCAGTGAGGGCCCTGAGATTTTGCTTCCAGAGTGCCTGCCAAGGAGCAGGCTAACGCAAACTGTAAGTTACTGAGAATCAGCTCCTGGTGGGGAGAACCTTAGCAAGCAGAGAAACAGGAAAAAAAAAAACAAAAAAACTATGGATAAATTTGTTTGTTCTCCCCTCTGGGCACTATCACAAGGTGCAGTTCATGTGTGCAAACCTTCCAAGTTTATCAGCTGAAAGATATTTATTTATTTAGAGGCTAGTTGTGAAGAGGGGTCAGGCTGATAATGACTGATGTTGTGTTGCTTTGCCTCTGTTCTCTTCTGTGTTTCCACCCAGCACCTGCCTCCCTTTCCCAGGCACTTTTATTATTTATAAAATAAGTTAGTTATTCTAATTTCCCATGGTTCATCCATAACAAATAAAATGTCACCATTTTAATCTCTTATTCAGGCTTTGCTTTTGCAGGACCCAAACTAAGGCAGATAATATCAAGTTTCCCTGAGTGGGTAAGAAAATAATTATCTGACACTGCTATAAATTTGCTTTTTCTACAAAGTTTTGTTCTTAGATCACCTTTTAGGAACATAAATCTGTAAGCCATTTTTGTCAAGATATATTAAAATTAAAATAATTTATCTATGCTGCAATTCCTCTACTGAATATGTACCCTGAAAGACAAGTATATGTGTGCAAAGGTGGCCATATTTACAAATGCTTATCGTTGATTGTTCATAACAGATAAAAAATGGAAAACTCTAAAAACCCATTTGAAAGAAGCCAATTATTATTGCTATATATTCTTTATTCTATTTATATAAAGTTTGAAATATGTCAATAGTGTAGTGCCAGAAAGCAAGTAAGTGGTTGTTGGGGGTAAGAGATGAGAAGTGACCTTGATTGTCAAAAAGCACATAAAAATGTGGGGGTTAATGGAAATATTCTATATCATATTCGTGTTGGTGTTTCTATTATTATACACACAGCTCATCAAATCAAACATTGAAAGTTGGAGGATTTGTTTGTAAATTATATTTTACTAAAGCTGATTTAAAACTGAAGGAGAGAATGGTGATGATGAATATGTAGTATCTTGCTAATTCATGTTGTTGGTTTTAATCTCATTAAGAATAAACACTGCAACTCTTCTCTATGACATTTAGAATCAATACTAATATTGCTAAGTAGTTGTCTTAGACTGTTCATGCTACTGTAACAAAATACCTCGGACTAGGTAATTTATAAGTAAGAGAAATTAATTTTCTCTGTGTTCTGGAAATAGACAGTCCACTATTAAGGGGCTGGCAAAGTTGATGTCAACAGAACTGTCAACAGTTCTTATACTGTTCCTTCCTGCTGTGTCCTTATGTGGTGGAAGGCAAAAGGGCAAAATGACCTAATTAAATCCCTCCAGTTCTTTCATAAGGTCACTGATCCATTCATGAGGGTAAAGCCTACCTAACTTAATCACTTCACAGAAGGCCCCAATGCTTAATACTATCACATTAAGTCTTAGATTTCAATCTAAGAATTTTGGAAAAATATATGCATTGAAACCATAGCAGTAGCTTATTCTATTTATTGTGTTGTTCTAGTTCTGCATCTCAAGGCAAGACATGTGAAGTCAAATATTTTATTTTCACAAACTTTTCTACAGAGAATAATATCCACTTTTACAGGTTGTTTTATATAGTTGGTAATTAAGAGGAGAATAAGAAATGCAAAGTATGAAGGGTAAGTAGCAAGAGGGTATCTTTATATTGTAAAGGTGCATCCTTAGAACTCCACTAAAGGTCTATAAAGTAATCCTTCAAAAAAGAATACAAATAAAAATTATACAACAACAAAAATCAAAACTGGTAACCAGATGGCTTCATGACTGAGAGCTCAGTTGCAGTTGTCCTCTGACGGTCAGGAGTGATGGTAAGACATGATTTTATAGAATTAGGTTCACTATGCTCAGCCGATCTACCTGTATGCCACTTTCCTGTTTTCAAACATGCGTTTTATATAGACATACCTAACAGTCACCAGAATCTCCACACTAATCCTTTGATTCTAAGATACGAGTTATGGTAGTAGAAAGTAAAATGGGAGAGTTCCCTGACTCCCCCGGCAGGAAATGTGACAGGGTGTGGCTCGCCTGTTGAGTCGCCTGGCTGCTCAAACGCCTTGCAAGAGGGGGAGCACACAGACTGGCAGGTGAAGGAGCCCAGGTGGGCGCGTGTTACAATGTGCCCTTTTAGCTTTGCCGTTTGAGGATGGCTTGAGTATTAATCAGCTCAATTAACCCTCTGCCTTTCTGCAAGGGCAGAGGGCCAGTGTGACAGCTTTCTGGATCCTGAGCTTCTGTCCAGCATCCAGGAAAAATCAAGTTACACATGGACTCCAAAGATGAATGCTAGGTTTTTACTGAATGGTGGAGGTGACTTTCAGCAGGATAGATGGGGAGCTGGAAGCAGGGAGATGGAGTAAGAAGGTGATTCTCCCCTGGAGCTGGAACTTCCAACAGCCAAACCCCTCACCGACTGCCCCAGCCGAACTCCTCTGGGTGTCTAGACACCCCTCCTTTTCTCTGGCGTGCTGCCCTGCTGCTTTCTGCCACTCTCCACCACTCTCTGCTGTTCTCTGCTGTTCTGTTCCTCTGCTCCTCTGGATGTTCAGCCACCTGTGTGTGTGCCTGCTAAGGTCTCAGGTTTATATAGGCACAGGATGGGAGGCATGGCAAGCCAAAAGGCAACATTTTGGGCACGAAAACAGAAATGCCAGTTCCCATTTAGAACCGCAGTCTCCAGGCATGAGCATGGGGCCTTTGCCGGGGAACCACCCTCTTCTACCCAGTATTTCCCTCTCTCCTTCCTATATCAAAAGGACAGAAAAAACCCCTGAAAATTGCTACCCAGGATTTCAGCAAAGAAGATGTAGAGGAGAGATGGGCCTATTTCATGGGATCCACTGTACCATGTAACTCCAGAAGTTGCCAGCTGACAGTGATAAACTGGCCTCTTAAAGGTGCATGTTAGATGCCAGCAGCTCAGTGATACCCCATGATGAGTGGTCACAACTCTTTAGGATGTGGACAGCTCTTAAACCAATGCAGGTATGTAAATAAATGGGTCCAAGAATAAGGGGGTAGAAGTAATAATGAGGATACTTGAATTTTTACTTTTCAGCCTCTAACTTTTGTATAAAAAGTGAGTTCCTTGTCACTGTCTAGTCACATCTGCAATAATCTATCTGGTGTTTCTGAGAGACAGAGTAGGGAAGTAAATGGCCATGAAAAGGACAATCACTCCTGTGTGTTAAAAACTATTCGAGAATTGAGCTACATAAGAGTCATTAAACATAATTTCAATGAAAGTTGTATTTTCTGAGTTTAACTAAGGTATTCAGACACTTGATTTAAATGTTTTTTTTTAAAGAAAAAGATTAAGCTAATAAATAAAATGGTTGTAATTTTGTTTCTTGCCCATAATATTTTTGTCTTAAAACATTAATATTCAGTTCTGCTTCCTTATTTAATATCAGTAAATATCATGTTATCTCACTTGCAAAAATTACAATCATGATTGTCACACTGGTGCACTACATCAGTAATTAAGAGTTCTGTAAAGAACACCATGACCTCCAAGTACTTCACATTATAATCAATTTTCAGGACAACTAAACCCCATGAACACCAAGATCCTTTTTATCTTTAAAATTTTAATAAGCATTACACTATTCATTTTCATCTTTCACATTTTCTTGATGCACTTACTATCAGTCCTTCTAACATAATGGCAAAAGGCTCCTGTACATATTTATTTGTGGAGACAATAGCACCTCTAGTAATGCTTATTTAAAAAAGTCACTCACTGATTTGTATTTCTAAGTATCGGGAGTTCAGACAATGGGATTTTTTTTAAGTAGAAATTTGGGAACTTTTTTTCTTCCTCACATACTGACAAGATAGTTTTTATTCTATCTGGTATCATTTGTATTTGGATTGGAACTTTTTCAAAAGAAGCCTTTTTGCGTTTTACTGAGAAAGCTATTACAATAGATTGCCTTTCCTATGATGATAAAAAATATGTAATTTTCACATTCACTTAGCTTTAAAACAGCTGAATAGATTTTCCTTAATCTTAGAAGAAAATTATCTTGGGGTTGAATAAAAGCATAGAAAGCTTAAACTGAAAAAGAAATTTTAAGAAGTTTATGACTCAGATAAAGTAGAGTTGTAAAACTAAACATTCTATAATATCATTTGCTATCTCTAATATACATCCAAACATAGATGAATTTAATATATCTTTTCGTCCTCTCGTATAACATGTGCCAACCATTTACATTGAATCCTCAAGCCTACATAAGCATAAAACTCCATCCAGAAAAATGTGTTAAAGGAACATTGAATTAGCCATCAAGGCTAGGAAATGGTTGATGTGACATGGAACTGAAATGTATCAAAAAGTTATAGCTAAATACTAGCCTATGATTATGTGTATGTATGGAGATACTGGATCAAATCAGATACCATAGTTCCAGGGTGCTATCATCAACCTGCCTTATAAGTAACATGGTGGTCTTGTTATACTCACTGGGAAGTCAGATTCTGTCAGATAAGTTTGACAGTTTGCACTCTAGCTCTGTCCATGCTAAGATCACTTTTCAAAGTCAATTCTTTCGCTTTTGTCCATTCCCATGTTTATCTGTGTATGTACATTGTTTAATTTAGGGGAATATTTTTATTCATTCTAACTCAAGAACACTGTCCACACTATTCATTTCAGCTTAAATCAATGCCATACCATATGTAAAAATATAGATTACAAAAGAGATTTAAATAGTTTGTTGTGAGGATGACATAGGCTCTGAATCATTTCTCTGCATGAGGCTTTATGTAGTTGCTGGGATG
Organism: Homo sapiens; assembly: GCF_000001405.40. NCBI lineage: Eukaryota > Metazoa > Chordata > Mammalia > Primates > Hominidae > Homo > Homo sapiens. The sequence goes on from NC_000007.14 coordinate 119,726,900, forward strand.
TAGCCCTCAACAAGATATTTCCTAACAGAGTTTGAAACCTAGCTGGGCACTCAGATATTAAAGAAATAACTAGCTTGGTCTATTTCATCCCTCACCTCTGCCTATTATTCATGTTTTAACTCTGAGTTTCCTTTCTACAAATTATGAGAAATCTAATCTTCTTTGATTATAGGTTTAACTTCCTTAGGAGTTTAACCCCCAGATATCCCTAAGACTCTAAGTTCTAATAATGAATTCTTCTGAAAAGCAGAGAATGTGGTCCTCATTCCCCACAGCTGATGCCATCAGACTGTGTGGCCACAGGTGCTCCAGTCATTGCCTCAACCCCACAGAAGTTCCTCAGGGGGACGGACAGGAAAACATCAGAGCACTATCTAAAATCTTTCACAGTAAGTGTGGCCTAGCATTTTCTGCCAGTTTCTGCATAATCCTCTTTCTTAATGGTCCAAAAATCACAGCTAGAATAAGCGTTGTGACCCACGTCAAAGAATAGAGAACAGTACATTTCTCAAATAACCCCATCATTACAAAAGTATTTTTTTCAATCTCCTTTTGGGGAAATTATTTCTCTTTCTTGCATTTTTCAGGCAGAATGAAAATGGAGCCAATGAAAGGGAATTAAATTTTGGGATCCCCAAACTCATGTAGCCAAAGGGAAAAGTCAAGCTGGGAACTTGGTCACGCAAACCTGCCTCCCCCATTTGGCTCCTAAGTAAGATGGCTACAAGATGAAAAGCTACATGCCTCCCCTATATTTTGCCTACAAGGAAATTCCTGATGAGCTGCAAGATCTTTTAAGGTGTTTCTGTTAAAATTTCACCATGGCAATGCAAATTGATAGCTTATCTTTACAGGTGCAGTTACCCACAGCCCACCAGACACAAATGCATATCTGATTATTCCCTTACCCCATTTTTGCCTGTGTTATCATATGTAAAATGCAGATTCTCTGCATTTTTCCTCTGCCCCATTTGTCTAGGTCATCTTATGAAAAAAAAAAATTGTAGATTCACTGAGCCAGACAAAGGCATGAATGACTATTTTTCCCTAACTCCCTGTTACATGCAAATTGTGTACTTCTCAATATCCCGCCATTTACCCTTTAAATTTTGAGCCCCCAAAATCATCTTCAGAGAAAGGCAAAGACCTGTCTTCTGGGTGTGTGTCTTTAATTTTGGCAAATAAATTTCCTAAAATGGTTGAGACTTGCCTTATCATTTTTCTCCATTGACAAGCCTAATAATAATATATGATAGATCTTTTAAAATCAATCTGTAGGTATTCATATTCAAATTTAAAACGACTCTCGCGTTTTTCTTAAAAACAACGAGTAAGGCTTTATAATTGTGAAAATAAGAGTTTATCACTGCGAGCTTCCCAAAATCAATGGAAAGCTGAAATTTACCACAGAATCCAGGATCAGGAAATTATGAAATGACCAAATAATCAAATGCTAGCAGTCTTCCAAATACCAATACTTTGTGTGTGTTAGTATGTGTGTGTAATTTCATGTATGTGTGTGTATATATTTATATATATATTATTCATTTTTATAGTAAATATATATTTCATGTACATATCAAAATACACTTAGTTATCATTATAATATGTGGTAAAAGAAAAAATGTAGTATATAACATGTGAGTCTGAGGATCTAATTTATTTTCCTGAGAGAATAATATTTAAGCAATAAATCCAGGAAAGACAAAAACATTAATAAGAGTTAACTAGGCAAAAGGAAGAGTATTCTATTGAGGAAAGCTTAGCATGAAACGTTTGGACAAATATCAATCTGGTTTATTTCAGATGTCATATATATGTGTGTTCATTTGGGACTCATCATAATTCCAAAAAAACATAATCTTGAATGCCATAATACCAAATGTTGAAATCCCAAAAGATTTTTGATTCCCAAAATAAAATTCTGGAAAAAATAATTAAAACTCTTATTATTATTATTATTTTTTTTTTTTTTTGAGACGGAGTCTTGCTCTGTCGCCCAGGCTGGAGTGCAGTGGTGCAATTTCCGCTCATTACAAGCTCCGCCTCCCGGGTTTACACCACTCTCCTGCCTCAGCCTCCCGAGTAGCTGGGACTACAGGCACCCACCACCATGCCGGCTAATTTTTTTGTACTTTTAGTAGAGACGGGGTTTCACCGTGTTAGCTAGGATGGTCTCGATCTCCTGACCTCGTGATCCACCCGCCTCGGCCTCCCAAAGTGCTGGGATTACAGGCTTGAGCCACCGCGCCCGGCCTTAGAACTCTTTAGAAGATATTTATTCACATTTCTTAAAAGGAGATTTGACAAACATAGAGAACATGATAGATCACTTCATAGACCACTTCACACAATAAAATAGGCAGTAATAACATACAGATTTTTGTAAGCATAAACATTCAGCTATACTAATGATGGTTTCATACATCCAACAGATATGAGCAGATACCCTGTGTGTAAAGAAGTAGGTCAAAGGGGGAAATGAATAAATGTGTATTACTACAGTTGATATTTTTGTGCATCCAGCTTTCTAACTGTTGTCCTTTGAAATATTGTGACAATCTCATTCTTTTTAGGAGATTAATCAAAAATCATGATGGGTCATCATTTCATATGCAGTTGCTTAAAGAGCAGAAGTCTTGAGAAATTTTATTTCAAAAATACAGATGTGCAAAAAGGGCATCTTTTCATTTACTGAGGAAGTTTCAACATTTTTATGTACACTAGCAATGCTCATGCATAGTCAATATACACTAATACACTTTTGTATAGACAAATTAGCAAAAAATGCATAAAATGAATTAGAACTCTCTAAAGTATCTACACAATTTAGAGCTCCAGTATTGAAAATGATGCAAAAGATAAATACGTAGTATAGCAAATTGTAAAAAATAATTCTGACAATTTAAAATACTAAAAGAAGAAAAGAAAAAAACTAAAACAGAAAATTTGACCTATGAAAAAGTGTATTGTAATGATAGATTATGGGCAATTGCTTGAAGATTGTCCAGAAGAGCCAGCTGAATTTTGTAATCATTGTATGTTGAAGTATTACATCATGATGAATAGTTGCCTTTTGTTTGTTTGTTTGTTTTGGTTTTTGTTTGCTTGTTTTCAGTTTAGTTTTCTTTTATTTTTTAGGACATTGTGTTCCTCAGAGAATGCCTTGACATTTATTTTCTAGGAGACTGCCCTTTTTGAAATCCTTCAATGATTAGATATACAATAACATGAGCATTCCATATTAAATATTTTCATCTTCTGAGCCATGCTTCTATGTTGTTTTTGGTATGCAGAAATCTATACACACTCTTATACAGACCACACGCACTCACATACATATCGCAAATTAGGTGGAAACAATACAGGTGATTGAACAGCAACACTGTTGCATAAGTATCTTCGTATCAGGCACATAACTATCAGCAAACCAGTAACTTCAATGGCTTCTTCTGGCAAATGCAGCTTTAATTCATTAAAAGCTCCTGCAATGTCAACAGCTAGAAAGAATGCCACTTCAGGCAAATCATATGTTTTTAAATCGAAGGTTTTGTTATTGCCATATCATGCTGCCAATCCGCTGATCATGATTTTCCATCAAACACAGTGGGCTTAATGGGAAAACAAACTTTATTGGTAACACCTTGACATTCACTTTTAGAAGCCTTGATCACACCTAATTCCCAATCCATCATTATAGTTTAAGGATTCAATTAAAATCCATTCTCTTCTGTAAAATCGACCAAATCTTTAAATAAGTTTGTATAAAGTAATTCACTTTTTTTCAGTCACTCATACATAAACAAGTGGATAAGTTCTAGAATTTTTTAATCCAATGGCGGCATGAATTGTATATAGTTGATTAAAAAAATACTGGGGACAGTTTTAAAAGTGCCATCCATTAGTCAAAGTGAAGTATGTGCTAGTTTTTCTATGATAGAATTAGTGGTAAATGTAAGAAGTATATCTTCTTTGACAGTCAAATCCATGCTTAACCAAGAATAGTTCACCAGTCAATGTGTTTTGTAATACAAGGGGGACCACAATATGAGCAAGTGCCTTTGGTTCAGAAGATCACTGAACTTGTTGAATTCTTTTTATTCTCTAATGAAGGGTGTTTTTTTTGAAGGCAAGCATGGCACTATGTGTGAAGGGGAAGACATTATACATGACTGCAAAATTTTGGAGGTGAGATTTCTTGTATTGTTGCCATTTTTAATTCTTCCATGATTTACAAACACTCCCTACACTTATATTTGGAGAGTGGTTGTGGTCTACACATCTTTTAAGTATATGCTATCCATTTGAAAGTCTAGTTATTGTTTGACTGTGGCAATTAAGTGTTTTTCTGCTTTCTCAGCACCAATAATAATTAGCTTTTAAACTTTTATCTTTTACCATTAAGTAGCCTCATACACTGAACTTGTCACAGCTTTTTTTTTTGTGTGTGTGTGTGTGAGGGAACAGTTTCACAGATCCTTTCACTGTGTTTTAAGAAACATAGTAAAAAATAATGATATTTGGCTTTCCCAGTGCAAAATTCTTATTAGGATTCTCCAGAGAGACAGAACCAATAGGATATATATATAAATAAATATATATATATATATATATATATATATATATATATATATAAACATGGATTCATTATGGTAATTGACTCACACAATTATGGTGGCCAAGAAGTTCCAGGACAGGCAATCTGCAAGCTGCAGGCCCTGGGATGCTGGTAGTGTGGCTCAGACTGAAAGCCTCAGGACCTGAAGGATTACTGATGTAAGACCTGGAGTCCAAAGCCGGAAAGCCTGGGTTCTGATATCCAAGGCAGCAGGAGAAGTTTGTCCCATATCTCAGACACCAATTAACCTGAATTTGTTCTCTCTTTGTCCCTAGTTGATTAGATGGCAGATTTTCCTGACCTAATCCACTCAGACTCACACTATTTGCTTTTGGAAGCACCCTCACAGGCATACCCAAAATAATACTTTACCAAGTTGCTATTCTTTTATTCAGTCAGGTTGATACACAAAATTAAGTTCACAAGTTCACCCCTTGTCAATGTGGCATTAATACACATCTTAAACCACATTTAATCTCCAAATAAATAAAGTAACGGGTGACACACCTAACATGATGCAATTATTCTGTGATTGTGATTTTTCAGGATTTTAGCGTTTAGGGACTTTTTATTTTAGGGATTTAGACTTTAGAGATTTTGATCTTTAGGAATTTTGATCTTTCATCATTTCAGCATTGGGGATTATGGCATTTTGGATTGTGTTTTCTGGGATTATAATCCAAACTCTTCATATATGCATATCTGTGCTTATGTACATATATGGAGGTGTCTGTGACAGTGTGTGTGTGTCGCCATCCAATACTGAGTGACTTTGAACTTCTCTACTATTTCCTTATTTCAGCAACTATTTTTTAAGTCTCTACATTGCATCATACAATGTACTGCATAAGAGAAAAACATGGTGACAAATAAGATAGTCCTTATTATAATAAAATTTAATCTCAGGGGAGAGATATTAATTTATATGTAAAATAACTGACAAGTGCTCTGAAGGAATTATTCATAGTCTTATGTGCATCTGCAAGAGGACACTTGGCCTCATCTGAGGGCTTAGAAAAGCCTCACAAAGGGCCAGGCGCAGTGGCTCACACCTTTAATCCCAGCACTTTGGGAGGCCAAGGCCGGCGGATCACAAGGTCAGGAGATCGAGACCATCCTGGCTAACATGGTGAAACTCCATCTCTAGTAAAAATACAAAAATTAGCCGGGTGTGGTGGCAGGCACCTGTAGTCCCAGCTGCTGGGGAGGCTGAGGCAGGAGAATGTCATGAATCCAGGAGGCAGAGCTTGCAGTGAGCAGAGATCGCACCATTGCACTCCAGCCTGGGCAACAGAGTGAGACTCCGTCTCAAAAAAAAAAAAAAAAAAAAACCCTCACAAAGAAAGTGGCATTTGTATTAAAATCTGAAGAATAAGTAGCATTTAACTATGCAAAAATACAGAAAGTTTTTAACACAGAGAGATATCAAGTGAAAATACCCAGGGGTATAAAGGACATGGCACTTCTGAAAACCAGTTTGATTAAAATGCAAGCACAGAAAGAAATGGATCTGGAGCATAGCTATTGGGGCAGGAAGGGACTAAATTATTCATTACAGCAGGGCCTTACATATGAGCTCCACAAAACCTGTCTTCCTCTCTCATCATACTCCCACCCTCATTCAGTCCAAACCAGGGGCAAACATTCTTCTGAGTTTAATGTGTCCTATTTTGCTTGTAGGTCTTCGCATAACATATGTATCTATTTTGAATATGTGTAAATGCTATCATGATATACATTTCTTTCTGTTTTTGTCTTTTGTTTTTCACTCAACACTGTTTTAAAAACTCAATATTGTTATGTGTGTATTTCATCCACTACTCCTAGCAACTGCATTATACTCAGCATTTCATGACATGCATTTCAAATATTTTATACAGCTGCTTCCTTAAAGACAAATACTTCAAATTCTTCTTCGTTTCCATAATTATGTTTCATTAAATATTCTCATATATGTACTATATGTGTGATATATCTTTAACAAACATATGGATAAAATACATTTCTGGATAGTAGTGTGATGAGTTGCAAAATGGCCACAAATTCTTCCTCTTAACTTTTTCCATACTTGGCAAATAAATGGTCTCATTGTCTAACTCTTGTATCTGAACTAGCCTCGACTTGCTTTGGCCAGAGACAATAGTAAATGTGTTGCAGGCTGGGACTTTTCAAATACTTGCATATTAGAGCTTGCTCCACTGATATTTTGGACAGCGCCCCATGAGCAAGCCTGGACTAGCCTTCTGGATTATGAGATACAAGGTCTAGCCACCAAAGTCAGTCCAAATGAGAGCAATTAAACTCACTGAGGCACAGCAGACTAATGTACCTACAAGGCACTACAAATAACTGAGCAAGTCCAGCTGAGATTACCAAAGGACATGTCCAACTGAATTCAATTCTGTTATGAAATGCATAAGGATTGATGTTTAGAGTTTGCAGTGTTAAACAGTTTTAACACTGTTTGCAGTGTTAAAATTTTTTAGTTTTAATGCAATGACAGATAAATGGTATAGAAATGGGTACGTGAACCTGAAGTGCTGCTGTAAAGAAAAGCCTAAAATGTGGGCAGAAGAAGAAAATGTGGTAAGGAAAGTGCTAAAATAGGCTTGAAATGTGGCAATTCATGACATACAGTAGTAGAGCAATTAAATCTAACATTTTCGGTAAGTTGGAAGTTAGAAAATGCGCCTAATGGACCTGGGGAATTCGGCAAGATGATGCCAATATAGAACGTTGAAATATCTGCTGGATTTATTCTGCTTCCTATGTTCAGATACAAGGTAAGAAAGATGAGTTAAAATTAGGGTTTCTAGAACTCAGCACTATTGAAATTTGGGGTTAGATAAGTCTATATTGGGGGAAGGAGTTGAATAGTCCATGTTTGACAGAATTCCTGGTCTTAAGCACTAAATGCCAGTTGCACCATTACCCCCAGGCATGGCATCAAACCTAACTCCAGACATTTCCAAATGCCCTCTAAAGGGAAAATCATAATGCTGAGCTAGGTAAAGAACTTTTTGGTCTGTAAGCAGATTTTGGAGAGAATACTGAAGATTCTGCAATGGCTGCACTGAAAAATAAGTGTTTCTCATCTCCAATTTTACCAGTCAGTAAAAGATGCTCAAAATGAAACAAGGCCTAGGAACAAAAATCATGGTAAGCCTGTGTCTATAAGACCTTATGATAAAACCTTCGAAAAATTTAAAGTGGTGGTGCCTTATATACCATCTAAGTTAAGTAAGATAATTTCTAAAAAGAGTCCTATTCTAAAGAAGCTCAGACATGGAGAAGTGTATCTTGAAAAGTATTGGGATTGGAGGTGTGGTGTATTTCAATGGAATAGTCTATACTGTGATATATACAACTTTTTTCTTTCATAAGTATTTTAGAAATAGGTTTTCGATTTCCACATGAAATATTTTCTTATTTTGTTATCTAATAAATTTGTTTGGAGAGAACAAGCATATATCTAATATTAAGTCACTTCATCCAAGAGTACTTACAAATTTATCATAGTTTCTATTTTATTTTCTCAATCTGTAAATTTTTATCCTTTGGGAACTTGTGAAGTATTAAATTAATTATTAGAGATTTTATTATTTGGATGCTATTGTGAATGTTTTGCTATTCTTAATATGTTTTATTGTAAACTAGTTGCTGCACGATACTCATCACACCATGAATTACATTCACTTATTTTTAGAGAAATGCTATTGCATTTTATAACTTGATCTGGTTTCAGTCAACCTTGCTAAGTTATATGATTAACAACTTAATGATTCTCTTGGCTTTTGAAAGTAGAGGATAATGTCATCTTTCAAAATTGAGAATTTTATGTCCTTTATTCAGATTTTATAAAGCCCACACAAGTTTGTTTTTATAGTTGTTATTTTGTTTGTTTGTTTGGTTTTGACATATTGCATTGTCTAAGACCGTCACTCTTTCGTTAAGCAGTAGCAATTATGGTGTTATGCAAGTCTGTTTCCGAAACTTCAGGACATCATTTTATTTTTTATCTGTTAAGGATACCTTTGCTAAAGGCTTTTGGTATTTAACATTTTAACACATCAAATAAATTTCTTTATTCCTAGTTTTCTAACATTGATTATCTAAATACGTTACAATCTGTTAGATGCTTTTGGTTCTTTATTAATTGATCATAATAGATTTTTAGTTGTTCTATTAATGTGGTTATTTCTTTGTATATATTTTCTAACACTGAACCACTTTTACCTTCCTCATTGTATTGGCCTGCTTGGGCCACCATAAAAAAATACCACAGACTGGGTGGCTTAGACAACAGACATTCATTTTCTCATGGTTCTGGAGGCTAGAAATCTATTTCATGTCAGGGCTCTTTTCCTAGTTGCAAGAAGCCTCCTTTTTGCTATGTTTCCACATGGTCAGAGAGAGAAACAGCTCTTTGGAAATCCTCCTCCTTTTATAAAGACACCAAATCCATAGGATTAGGGCCCCAACCTTATGACCTGATTTAAGCTTAATTACTTCCCTAAAGGTCCTATCTCAAAATACCTTAACATTAGTGGCTAGGGCTACAACATATGAATTTTGAGAAACACATTTCAGTATGTAACACTAGCTAAAACTAATTTGATTGTGTTGTATATTCATTGTGGCACTGTTCACAATAGCAAAGACTTGGAACCAACACAAATACCTATAATTGATAAACTAGATAAAGAAAATGTGGCACATATACACCATGGAATACTATGCAGCCATAAAAAGGATGGGTTCATGTCCTTTGCAGGGACATGGATGAAGCTGGAAACCATCATTCTCAGCAAAGTAACACAGCAACAGAAAACCAAACACCGCATGTTCTCACTCATGAGCGGGAGCTGAACAATGAGAACACATGGACACAGGGAGGGGAACATCACACATCAGGGCATGTAGCGGGGTGGGTGGCTAGGGGAGGGATAGCATTAGGAGAAATACCTAATGTAGATGACAGATTGATGGGTGCGGCAAGCCACTATGGCACCTGTATACCTATGTAAAAAACCTGCATGTTCTGCACATGTACCCCAAAACTTGAAGTATAATAAAAAAGTAATTGTAATTGAAGTAGTAGTAATAAATAGAAGTCAAAGGAAAATTGAAAAGTGAGAAAAAGTGAAGATTAATAGGTCAATTCAATGAAATCTGTTATGAAAATTATGATGGGTTGATTGGCAATAGGGAAAAATGTGATGTTATGAAACCATGATTAGATAAAGTAATTCCATATTTTTCTGAGGCAGGCACAATTTTCAGCAAAGATATAATCTAGTTTTTAAATTCTCAACTATTGAGTTTGATGAGACAACACAGAAAGTTTCAGCTCCAGTAGAGAAAGGAATGCCTTATTCTTAATTTCAGGGGAATATTTAAATATCAATACAGCTTCACAATTTTTTTCTTAAAAATTTAACTGAAATCATCAATTAGAAAGAAGGCTTCCATATATTCCCAATAGATGTTTAAAATGATAAATATAGTAACATTTTGGGAAGAGAGAGGGATTATTGTGTAGTGCATAAGATAGCTACATCTTACTGGATTCACATCGTGTGATATGATCCCTTCATCTGCCACATTGAAGTTGTGGCTTTTGGCAATTACTAAAAAGTTCTGTCTTAGTTTTATCAACTTTAATATGGAACAATATTAGTGCACACCTAATGTGTTTACTATGATGATTAAGTTACATAATTTGTATAAAGAATATAGAATACAGCCTAAAGCAAAATAAGGTGTTAATATTTATTATATTTATTATCATTTTGTAAACAAATTCTTGCAAGTTGCTACAAGGCAAGGAATAAAAATCAAGTCAATGATTCTCTAAATAGAGAAAAGAACTGATTGATTATGTTATTTATATTACTGAGGGCAGATACAAAAAGTAAAGACAAGTTGAAAGCATTATTTATTTTGCTGTTCTGAGAACTCTAGAGCATTCCAGAATTGAATAAAATAAAAACATCAAGTCACTAGTTCCAATATAATGAATGTAAGGATATAAAGATTTTTTTCATTATTTTGTTTCAGATATTGCAACATATTTTATTACAATAGTCATCATTTTTAAACAAAGTTGATTTAGGCCTATATCTCAGATCATCCTGAATTCACAAGCAATATCCTAAATTAGAGATTGTTTTTATATGCCCTAAAAGCATCAACATGTGAATTAACATCATTTTGTTGCCAAGGTCTTATTTCCTTCAAATAACTTTTCAAAGGCTGTCTGGATTAATTGACAAGAAAAACAGTGAAAAGATCAAAGTACTGTCAAAGACATTCAATGAATGATTTAAATAACTAGTAACAAAGCTTGAAAGGTGGTCATTGAAATAGCATTAACATAATTTTGTAGAATATAATTTGTTGTCTTAAGAGAATTTTAAATACTTTGTCTGGAACCCTGTAACAGGCATCATCAAAACTGATCAATCATGTATTTAATATATCAAGTGAAACAAGAATTTTCTGCTTTAAAGATTGTTAAGTGGTTGATATTTCATTCACAGGAGCTTACTATTGAGGATCATATTGACATTAAAATATAAAGTTTAAAAGAAGAAAAAAAAGGTAGTGGTAACATGGAATACAATTCTCCTAGAAGTTGTTTCCATAGAATAATCTTCTCACAGGATTTTGCCATTGTAAAATGTTTGAATCATTAAAAAGTAATATTTAAATTTTAACGAATTAAGAAGTTCTTTGGATCCACAAGAATGCTTACTCTCATCACATAAAAATTTATTAGGGAGAGTACATACTATCTCTACCCCAAATTCAAATGAGTTCACATTTAAGTGGCCTCAGTAAAGCCAGCAGCAGAAATATACAAATTCTGCCAAGGGAACATATTGACAGATTTTTAGAGTATTTTACTTTTCATAGTTAATAAATATTTGAAAACCATTCATTATTATTTCATGTTATTTTCAAATTTACTTTATCTAGTTTGATTACTATGCTATAATAAAAGATGTAGAACAAAATCTCCATTCATAATATTGCAGCTTTAGAAAAGGTTTCTACCAAGGACAGCTTAACTTGATATTGTAGCAGAGATATAAATCAGATTGTATGTTAGATTCTGTGTGTGTGCACGTGCACGCATGCCTAGATTCTGCGTGTGTGTGTGTATATATATACACGTGTGTGTATATATATACACATGTATATATGTATATGTATCTATCAGGTTGGTGCAAAAATAATCGCTGTTTTTCCCATTACTTTTAATGGTGAAAACTGCAATTACTTTTGCACCAAACGAATATGTCCAATGTAGGGCGAATGTTGTCTTCTCAATTCTTCCCTTGCTTCAACAAATCTGAGTCTCTACATTGGACAAGACAATGTGCTATATGAGAAGAAAAATATAACAACAAATAAGATAATTTTTATTGTAAGGAAACTTACAGTTTAGGGGGAAAGAGGCATATTACTTTAAATGTGAAATAAGAATTAGAAGTGCTGTGAAGAAAATATGCAAGTTTTCATGAGAGTCTGTAAGAGGGTACATGGCTTGGTCTGAAGGTTAGTGAAGGCTTCAATGAGAAAATGAGATTTTAGTAGGGATCTGAGGATGAGAAGGAGTTAACGGGCAAGAAGGTGGAATACAGAGGTGGAAAAACATAAGGGTGTAAGGAACAGTCATTTTTGTGGTACTGAAAAAAGGATGTCTGACTAAAATATAAGTTCATGGCCAAGATGGGTGTGAGGCCAAATAGGTATAAAGAGACCACAGTATGAGTTGAATTGCATTTGACTGATAGAATAATACATAGAAAACTGGCATCTTGAAAATGTTTAGTCTACTCATCCATAAATCTAGGATATACACCCATTAATTGAAGCCTTTATCTTGAAATTATTTCATCAGATACAGCTCTAATGGTTTTACATATTTTGCTTCTATTATCAAAGGTATTTTTTTTCAGTGAATCACCTGAGGTCAGGAGTTCGAGACCAGTCTGGCCAACATGGCGAAACCCCGTCTCTACTAAAAGTACAAAAATTAGCCGGGCATGGCGGCGGGTCCTTGTAATCCCAGCTACTCAGGATGCTGAGGCAGGAGAATCACTTGAACCCAGGAGGCAGAGGTTGCAGTGAGCTGAGATCATGCCACTACACTTCAGCCTGGGTGACAAGAGCAAGACTCCGTCTAAAAAAAGAAGAAAAAAAAAAAAGAAAACTGGAGTCCTAAGTCCTAAATGTATCTAGCAGCCTTGAGCCTTGCTAAATTTATTCATGACTCCCATTAGAATGTGTAGCAGAATATTTGTCTATTTAGATGAACATGACATTCACAAGGACTTGCTCTCCAATCTGTATGCCTTTTATTTTCTTTGCCTTAAGGTATTATTAATAAATTATTTATTAATAACAAATTGATTAATAAGGTCATGGTATATGTTAAGAAAACATGCACCAGCAGTGTAGACTAAAATTGTAGTTAATTATTTAGTAAGTGTGGTGAGAGTTAACATCTTAACTTTGTTTCTGATATCAGACAAAAAGTATTTAGTTTTTCACCATTACATATGATGGTGCCTCTATGTTTTATATAGGTCACTTTAAATGTATTGAGAAGATACATATTTATTTCTAGTTTTTTGCAGGTTTTTATCCTGAATTTATGTTAAATTTGCATTTATAAAAATTCTCTTTAGCTTAAGGACCGGCAGCTCGTAGGACAAATCAGGCCTGCGGCCTATTTTCAGTATGACCTCCAAGCTAAGGAGAGATTTTCATTTTTAAAGGTGTGTGCACATGAGAGAGAGAGAGAGAGAGACAGAGAGACAGAAACAGAGACAGAGCAAGACAGAGACAGAGGAATATTGAGAAAGGAAAGAAGTGGAGGAGGAGAAAAGAATATGCAACAAGGTATATGTGGTCCCATAACCAAAATATCTTCTATTACTATCTTGCCTTTACAGAAATAGTTTGTCGACCCTAATTTAATATGTCTTTTTAATTTTGTTAATATATCAAATTGCAGTGATTAATTTTGAATTTTGAACCAATCTTGTTGGGGATAACACCTAATTAGCCATTAAGTAGTATCTTTTTTTATGTTTCTGAATTCAATATGATAATATTTTGGTAAAAAATTTTTGTCTAATATTTATGAGAGATTATTTGTTTGTAGTTTTCTTTTTTTCCCGATGTCTTTGTCTCTGATTGTGGTAGTGGATAGTATTGCCCTTATAAAGAACTTGAATGGGTTTCATCCTTCTCTTTTTTCTTGAATATTTTGTGTGCTATGGCTGTTCTTTCTTTCCTAAATGTCTGGTATAATTTGACAGGGAAGGAAACTAATCCTGGAGTTTTCTGTGTTGCAAAGTTTTAATGTTTAATTCATTTTCTTTAATAGATATAAAGCTATTTAAGACATACATTTTTATCTTCAATGAGCTTTAGTATTTTTATCTTTCATGGAATTTGAACTTTCATCTGTTTTATCAAATTTATTGGCATAAATTGTCTACAATATTTCCTTATTATAATTTTAATACGTGTAGGATATGGAGTAACCTTTTTCTTCATTCTTGATTTGTCAATTTGTAACTTTTTCTTACTCAGTTTCTTTAGAGACTTATCAGTTTTATTAATCCTTTTAAAATATCAACTTTTATTTTTAATGATTTTATTTGCTTTTATTTTTTCAATTTTATTGATTTTTGCTTTTTTAGTCCACATCTCTTTATCGCTGTTTGCTTTAGATTTAATTTCCTCTTCTTTTTTTTTTCTTCTAATCACTGATATCTCTGTATCTCACAAATTTTGGCTATGATTTAATTTTTATTTATTTCAAAATAATTTAAAATTTTGGGGGAATTTTTCTTTGATTTATATTTTATTTAGGTGTGCTGTTTAATTTTAAGTGTTTGGAAGAATTCAGCTATTGCACACTTTTTGATTTCTAGTTTAATTCTGCTATAACAGGAGAACATACCTTGTATAATTTAGTTCTTTTAAGCTTATTAAGGTATATTTTATTTGTCTGAATGCAGTCTATCTTGTTAATATTTCATATTACTTGGAAAAACTTTATATTTTGCTGGTAGGTGAAGTATCTTATGAAAATCAAGTAAGTTAATAGGATTGATTTGTTTTGCATGTCTTCTAGATTCTAACTGATTTTCTTATTTTTTTAATCAATAAATGAGAGAGTAGCTTTTGTCTTCCAATGTAACTAGATTTTTATCTATAGGGTTATCCTTTATTTATGAATTTGAAAATCCATTCATTTGAAATGTTTTCATATTATTCACACTTGATGTGTTATTAGTATAGTTGGTATTAAATCTACGTACTTATATAAGTTGTATGCAACAACTTCTTAATATGATTGGATCTAATAGTACCATATCATGAACATTTGTTTGTCCCATCTTTGTTTGCTCCTTTCTCCTCCCTTTTTGCATTCTTGTAGATTAGAGACCAATTTTTTTATTTCATTTTTTCTCTGTTTTGACCTTCTAGTTATAAACCATCTTATTTTTAACATTTGCCCTAGAGGTTATACATCTTTGAGTTGAGTTTACTTACAAAAAAAATTATACCAAATAGTATAATAATCTTTCAACAATATAGTTAATGTTTCTTACCACCTACTCATTATGCTATTGTTGTCATTTTATTTCTACTTATGATAAATCCTCACAATAGAATGTTACTATATTTGCTTGAGATAGCCAATTATCTTTTTAAAAGCACTTTTACTAAGATATAATTAACATACAATCAACTGCACATACTGTGTACAAATTTATAGATATTGAGATGTGTATATACTTCTATGAAATTGTCATAATAATCAAGATAATGGTTGTGTCCCTATGTAATAACTGCTCCCATCCTTTTCTTTCTGTTTCTTTTACCAAGGTAATCACTGATGAGTTTTCTGTCAATAAAGATTAGTTTGCATTTTCTAGAGTTTTATGTAAATAAATTCAGAGAGTAGTGTTTTTTCCAGCTTATGTCCTTCAACATAATTATCTGGAGATGCATCTATGTTGTAATGTTTATTGGTGACACATTATTTATTGTTGAAGAATAGTATTTAGCAGTTTATAGATTCACCTTTTGAAAGACATCTGGATCGTTTTCAAGTTTGGCAATGAAATTACCAAACGGTAATTTCCAAATTGTAATTTCATGTTCATGTCATCTCTGTCATTTGATATTATTTTTGAATTATTTAAATGACATTAGAAAAGACAAGTATAATAATGAAAATGAAAGAACTGGTTCTATTTCTAACTGTAGATGATATGACAGGAAATTAGCGTGGGTTTATTTAGGATCCCCAAGCTACTTTTTCCAAATACAACCTAAAAAGTGAACTGAACATATATCTAGAAGTACAGTGCAAATCCATCTGAAAAATTTCTCGTTCTCAACTAAAACAAACAAAAAATTCTTAAACAATGTCAATGGGAAAAGCTTTGACTGAATCAACTAGCTGTTTAAACATTTCTATTCCACTGTGTAGCTTGAAAGAAATAGTAATGGTGTTCTAAATTGTTACAGAAGGTGGGCAATGATAATTTACTCTAGGGAGAATTTTTTTTTTTATTTAAAGAAAGTACTAATGGCTATTATTAGTCAATAAGATTACAACCTGCTAACTAGATATAAGTATTTCTTGTGAAACTTAAAGCTTATTACACAGAGACAAAAATCTAAAAGTTTTACAATGTGATTGCTACAAGATTTCTTTTCTTATTAATTTAACTCATTGAAAATAATGAGTCTTCATCATTTAGTGCTGAAAGTTAAAGATTCTTTTAAACTCAAGATGAACATGAAAACTATTATTTTACTTTGTCATTATTGTTATTTAAAAATTATAGCAGATCTTGCTGGCATCATTCTATTGTAAGTGCAGTTTGTCACGAGTTTATGACTCAATGGTTTTAATTCATATAAAAACAAACCAGCACACAAAGTTGCCAGTCTTTTTTTCTGAAAAAAATTAAATGAGTTATTTTTATCACAAAAGACACAGAATATAAATGAACAAATAAATCAATATACATTTTTAAATATCCATATTTTGTTGTTACAGAAAATGAGGTAATGTTAATTTAAAAATATATTTATGAATATTTTTCTCACTTAAATTCAGTTGTCAGTTGCAATCTAAATATGACACCAGCATGATTACCATTATTAATAGTAATGGTAATTAGCTTGAATAATAGTAATTATTAATAATAATTCTAAAAATACTATTTTACACACTAATATGTCCCTAAAACTATGTTGAAAATGACATTAAGTAGACACTGAAAAAATTACTGTTCATCAGAAATACTTGAAATCTTTACAAAAAGCCATAGTGAAAAGACAAAGGTACTTTGTAGTTTTGTAAATTAAAACATTGGTTAAATATAACGAGAGAGTTGCATATAAATTGTTTCATAAAATCATATTTTCTGCTGTGTGAATAAAGCCTCATTTATTGATATAATATTTTCTTTTTACTGTGACTTAAAATGTGGCAGAATAATTAATAAAAATGTAGACCCTCATTAATATGACATAGAATGTGGTATAATGCATCTGGCTGAGATGCATTACACAGGATAATAATTACTTATGGTACTAGAGGTATTCATCCAGTCTCACAAAATAGTGTTGCTAGTATGGCATTACAGTGTGGTTTACATAGTGTAGATACATTTGAGGGTTCTATGTAAATGAAAACCGCTATAAATAAATAAGGAGAAATAATTATTTAAATTCAAAGGAAAAGTTCTTTGAAAAGACTGATAAAATTGATAAACCTTTAGAAAGTCTCACAAAAGAGAAAATTCAAGAGTAAAGACAAATTGCTAATATAAGAAATACAATAGTTCATATAACTACAGACACTGCAGAAATCAAAAGGATAGTAAGGGAATAATAGAAGTAGCTCTACATATCTGAACTGAACAATTTGGACTCTATGAACCAATTCTTTTAAAAGTACATACTAAAACAATTCTTTCAGTATAAAATACATAATTTAATAGCCTTGCAACTATTAAGACATGAATTCATAATTTTTAAAACAACCCAACAAGAAATCTTCCAGCCCTGATATTCACTGAAGAATTCTAAGAAACACTTAAAAAGGAATTAAAACAAATTCTATACCCTTTTTTTTACAGAAAAGAAGTAAATACTTCCCAAATAATTCTTTAAAGTCAGTATTAACCTGACTTTAAAACTAGATAAAACACACACACAGACATACACACACATCCAAAAACTACACACCAATATCTCTCACAAATATACATGCAAAAATTCTATACCAAATATTAGCAAATAGTACTTAGTACACAAAAATATCTATATACACTATGACTAAATTAGGTTTATTTTGGGGATGCAAGGCTGATTGCACATTTGAAAAGTAGTTAATTTATGAAATTAGCAAGCTAATTTTAAAAAAATCACATGATCATATCAATAGATAAAGAACAAACCTCTGACAAAATTCAACATCCATTCTTGATTATAAAAAATCAGAACAATAATAAATATGTGGGAACTTCCCTGGATTGGTAAAGAATATCTACATAAAAATTGAAGCTGACATCATATTTAATGGTGAAAGACTGAATGACTTTCCTCTAATATGGGAAACAAAGCAAGGATGCTCACTTTCACCACTAATTCTATTTGATACAAGTGGTTCTAGACAGGAAAACAAGGCAAGAAAAAAATTTAAAGCATACAGTTTCAAAAAGAAGAAATAAGACTGCTGTTTTGTGCAGATGTCACAAATGTCTGTGTTAGTCTATTTTCACACTGCTGATAAAGACACACCCAAGACTGGGAAGAAAAAGAGGTTTAATTGACTTCCAGTTCCACATGGCTGAAGAGGCCTCACAATTACGGTGGAAGGCAAGGAGGAACAAGTCATGTCTTACATGGATGGCAGCAGGCAAAGAAAGAGCTTGTGCAGGGAAATTCCTCCTTATAGAGGCATCAGATCTTGGGTGACTTATTTACCATCATGAGAACAGCATGGGAAAGACCTGCCCTCATGATTCAATTACCTCCCACCAGGTCCCTCCCACAACATGTGGGAATTCAAGATTAGATTTGAGTGGGAACACAACCAAACCATATCAATATCCATGTAGAAAATCCCAAAGTATCTACAAAAATTTCGTAAAGCTAATTAGTGCATTCAGCAAGGTCACAAGGTACAAGATCAACATACAAAAATTTTTGCATTTCTATATTCTAGCAATGAACATGTAGACAACAAAATCAACACTACAATATTATTTAGTTATTTAAAAAATGAAATACGTATAACTTTTAAATGTCTAGGTTATTTTTACTGAAAACTATGAAACACTGATGAAAGAAATCAAACCATATCTAAATTAATGAGAGACATGCCTTGATCGTGAATCAGAAGACTCAACATGATAAAGATGACAATTTTTCTTACAGTTAGATTAAGAAAATTTCTTATCAAAATTTCAACAAGGTTTTTTAGATATAAGGAAGATTCTTCTCAAAGAATATATGAAAAAGTAAAGAAACTAATTGCTAGAATAATTTTTAAAGATATAATCACTATAAAATTATTAGACTCATTATATAGCTACAGTAATCAAAGATTGCATGACATTGGTAGAGGAGAAGACATAGATTAATAGAATAGAAAGTTCAGTAATGCTCTTGCAGGAGTCTAGCCACATGTTTTTTTTGACAAATGTGAAAAAGCAGTTCAATGGAGGGGCAATAGCTTTATTTAACAAATAATGTTGAAAGTAGACATCTATGAGCAAAAAATAAAAATAAAAAATAAGCTTGCCTCATCATAACTTATTTAAAAATTTACTCAAAGCAGGTCATAGAATTAAATACAAAATCTGAAATAATGAAGATTTAAAAGTGTGGAAAATCTTTAGAATCTAGATCTTGGCGAAGGTATGGCACTAGATGAAATAGGACACCAAAAGCATTATCAATAAAATAAAATAACTGATAACAGGACTTCATCAAGATGAATTTTTTTCTCTGCAAAAGATCATGCTAAGAGGAAGAAAAAACAAGGTATGACCTGGAACAAAATATTTGCAAACCATAAATCTGACAATAGAAATTATATCTAGAATATATAATAAACTCTCAAAACTCAAAGATCGAATCCAAGTAGAAAATGGGCAAAATACATAAACAGATATTTTTCTGAAAGTACTGTACATATAACGGCTTGTAGGCACATAATAAGCTTTTCAATATCATTAGCCATCAAGGAAATCCAAATTAAGACTATGATGAGATATCACTACAAACCAATTAAAACAGCTTTAAAAAAAAACTAGAAAATATTTAATGGTGTTTCTAATGCAGAGAAACTACATCTCATTTATTACTGGTGAGATGCAAGTTAAATGTCACAGTCACTCTTGAAAACATTTTGGCAGTTTCTTAAGAAGCTAAACACACCCATTCACACAATCCAGCAATTTCCCTCCTAGGCTTTCATCCCAGAGAAATGAAAACCTATGTCCACACAAATAGGTGTACGTAATTGTTGATAGCCACTTATTTTCAACAGTCAGAAAGTGGAAACCACCAAAATTTTCCTCCATAGGTGAAAACGATTAAAAATTACCCTGGTGCATCCATATCATGAACTGCTACTCATAAATAAAATGTAATGGATACATGCAAAAACTTCATTGGATCTTAGAAGTATTAGGCTGAGTGAAAAAAAGCCAGTCTCAAAAGGTATCATTATATATTATTTCACTTACATCACATTCTTCAAATGACAAAATTATAGAAATTGAAAAAACATTAGGGTTTGCCAGTATTAGAAGTGATCTGCTGGGGAGAAGTCTAAGTTCAATTATAAAAGAATACCACGAGGGACATTTGTGGGGTATGGGACAATTCTGTATGTAGATTGTGATGCTGGTTACACAAATCTATACATATGATAAGATGGCATAGAATGTACATTTTGCCAGTGTCAAATTTTTAGTTTTGATATCACAACTGTGTGAGACATAACAACTGGGGGAAACCAGATGAGCAGTACAAGGGTCTTCTCTGTACTAGCTTCACAACTTTCTTTGAATATATGATTATTTCCAAATTAATAGGTAAAAGTAGACAGACAAAAAATTAAAAAGAAAATAAATAAACTTGCAGAATTCCCCAAAGCTGGAAATGTAGGTGCAATATTCTTTTGGAGGTTTTCAGCATGTAAAAATTAAATTTGAGTTATTGTATCTGAGAACTTTATTTTCCTAGCATTTACTTTGAAATGTATATAAATGCATATACATATATATATGTATATAAATGCATATACATATATATATGTATATAAAACACTACTTCATACCCTGTGAACATAAATACTAACCCAGAAAACACACTGGGTCTCAAAAATAATAACAATAATGGTACAAAGATATGTATGCTACTAAATATCCTACTATTAATGAAAAAGTTTCAGTCGAACTTTAATTATGACAATCACAACTGAAAATACACCAGTATCTTAAGAATATTGCTGAAATACTTTTTTTTGTGTAAATTTAAACAGATCATAATCAAAATAAGGTACATTAATTTCCATTGGGAAATCAAATCACATTGAAAACAATTTAATCAAATATTTAAAGATTGAACATTTAAAACAAATTTAAATAATTATTAAACCAAATTTGAAACAACACATCTACAAACATATTAACTCAAAGATTAAAAGTCATAACACACTCAAGACAACACAGATGTTTCACTAAAAATGCAACATCCATTATAAAAAGTGGAGGGATTCCTACTATCTGTGAATGTGCATGCAAATAGGAGCTTTGCAACATTGCCAGGCATTGTGTGACAGCTGGTCTTAGCAGAATGCTGAATAAATTCTTTAGTTAAATTTAACTATGTGCTAATTTTTTAGGAAATGAATGCCAAATGTCTGTAATGCTAATAATTCTCTTATTAGATTAATAGTAACACTTCATCTTAACTAGAGTAAAAATCTGTGGGATTTCATGTCACTACTTATGACAAGTGAAGCAATTATTTACATTTTTGCATCAGGTCTAAGCCTTTCAGAGAAACATTCTTCTGGCCTTACTCGGGGGCAACTTATCTCACAATATTTCATGTGTGATGGACTGTGATGGACTTTTTAATCATATTTTGAAGGCTTAGATGTCAACAAGGTCACAGAAATGGGAATCAGACAGAGGGCTCTTGTTTCAATAGAGGAATTGATGGACTATCCTGTATAAGGCAAGCTGTGCCTTCATTTTGCATCCCCTTGTCCTGTTTGTCTTCTAAATACTAACCCAGAAAACACAGAGTCTCAAAGATCATAATAATAGTGGTACAAAGATACGTATTTCTCACCATGAGCCAGCACTAGATTAAATATTTTATATGCATCAATTTAGTCTTCACAACATTCCTGTGATAAAATGATAATCATTATTATTTTTTAATTTTTATGAGAGAAAAGTAACTAATGGACAGAGATATTGAGTCTCATTAATATTTTTGTAAATATACTTTTAAAATAGCATCTGCTAAGTGATAATGAGTTGCACATGTATTCCTGTTTCTTCTCCAACATTTTCATCAATCAGACACTAGAGATGGCTGGCATAACTCCAGGAATTTGAAGCGTATTCATAACAAAAAAAATCTTTGTCAAGTCAGAGATTATATTCGCCAGCCCAATAGGCTTTCCTCCACCACCACTTTTTAAATGAGTAAAATGACAACACAAATCATTAATAGAATGGCAGCAAAATATATAGATAAAAGGCACATTTGAGCAAAGATAATTGAGAAGTTTTACTTCCTTTATACTCTCTTTCTCTATCTTCTAGGTTTCTATAGGGGACTCTGAAGCCTGAAAGGAAGGTGGACCCAAGAATAGAAGCAGCTGATTCTGCTGTTAATATTTCTGTTTCCTCTTGGTTATGTACACTAATTTCTCTTGTCTTGTAATGTTCCATCATGGGCTCTTCTTTCTTAGGATTTTGTAGGAGGTGAAACTGTTTTGTAGAAGGTTTGAATGTCTTTGCCCAAAATCTTGGAAGCATTTTCAAATCCATGAACTCTTAAAATCAAATTATCTACTTGGATTTTTTTAGACCTTCAGACAGCAATCCAACATGAAGTCTTGTTTATAATTTTGAATTTTTAGTGGAGGATGTTTCTTCTCCTCAACTTACCAGTGTAAAAGTTTATGATACCAAGTTCAATTACCATCTAATTTTTTTGTGATTATTCTTTTCTTATTTATACTTTCATTGATAGACTTAACATTTGTGGGTTCATGTGACCCTCCAATTTAGCTTTCCATCTTTCACAGGCCCCGAGCCATGGTCATGCCTTTTGCATGTCTATTAACATTGGAATTTCTGCTTGCCATTCTGTATTTCAGATTTCTGCAATTTAATTTGCTTTTTTTCAAGGTCAGTTACGTGTACAAATAAAACTTATGTGTACAAATAAAACTACCTTGCATATAAGAAGTCCAGAATGAAGTCTAGCAGGAATTACATATGATGTGGTACGTGTTTGGTACATATGTGGTCTGAGCATTTTCTCTACTCAGACTATTTCCCATTATTCTTAGTGCCCCTTGACTATTGTCTGTGGCCTTCTTATCCTAAAAATTAGGGTGTAAACTTAAGCTCATTTTCAATGACAGTAGTAGATTATTTGTCTCTCTTACTATTGGTTCCTAATACCTATTTGTTTTTCATTTTCTAGCACACAATAGAGACTCAAATCTATTTTTATAAATGAATCTATCTTTGAGTCTAGTCTGTGCTCACACTATCAGATTTATTCTTACAACAATAACTACTAAACATCTGATTTTGTAACAAGCTGAGTAATTTCAGATGGACTTTACATTTTATATATATATGAATAAATATTCTATTACATAGATGTTGTTTTACCTATATGTAGTTAAAATTTAATGTATTAAGTACATATATCTGAATTGAAGCTTTCAAATATATGTTTTTTAAACTTGAGAATTATAAAGTGTTTTAATGTTAAATTTTTATTTCTTAGGTAAAGGAAAAAATAAAGATTAGCTTATAAATTGTTCTCAAGGGCCCTAGTAGATTATTTAGCACAAATTATATTTATCCTTGGGAATATTTTCTCAGTTTATGTAGAACACATGAATGGCTTAAAGAAAGAAAAAATCATTTTATATTAATGTTTATAAAGAAATACAAAATACCACTTTCATAATGAAATAACAAGATTACATTTATTGGAATAATGTTGATGGTAATTGTAGAAACAATTTTGTTAATGGGAGAGTGTTACATTGTTAGGATGATATTTAGACACATAAACATCATTAGCAATCGCTTACCATATTCCCTAGAGCCTCTTAGGATACTCTTTGACAGTTACTTAAAAGGAGAGACCTCAGTGTCTGTCAATTATCCTCAGTGGAAATGTAGACCACTAACACATTCAGATTTACTTGATTCCGTTAAAGGAAAAAAGGGACGGTACAACTTTTTCTTTGTCTGGAAATTTCAACTTAGTGAAGCCTTACAAAAATCATTTTTAAACAGGAATATACTGATAGAATTATTTATATAATACACAATACAATAAGACATTAAAGAAAATTGATAAATAATGCTTCTCACTAAATATATAAAAGAACTATAATATGTAAAAATCAGTGTATCATGTTCTATGGGATGGGGCTGGGTTATATCATGGACTGGAAATTTGATGAGCTATTCTAAGATATTCTGAATTTTTACCTAAAATTCAACAGTAAATAGAAACAAAATCTAAGATTACCAGTAATTATATTAAGTCCACATTATTTTTATTTGAATTCCCTGCTCTTTTTTCTCATTCACAGCTCGACACCTAAAGTACTTAAAAACTTGCTAAATGTGGTATGTGTGTATACATATTCTCTCTCTCTTCACATATATGTGTGTGTGTATATATATATGAAGTATATAAGTATATATAGGCACACGTGCACACATACATATATGTCTAAATATGTGGGGGAGTACATAAGACTCACTTGAAAATTAAAAGCCAGTTTTTTCCTCATTAAAAATATCCACATTGTAATTTCCACTTCCAGGCATACTGAAGTAGCATTGATCAGAGTTACATTAAGTGAAAAAAAATATATAAAAAAGTAAATTTTAAAACAGTGATCAACTAGGATATTTAATATTATAAACAGACTTCTTCAGGAGGACTTAACAAAATCAAATGTATATGCTTAAATTGATGAATATATAATCATAGTTCAAGATGTTAACACTTCTTATAATAATCAATAGAATAAGGCTTGGTGCAGTGGCTCATGCCTGTAATCCCAGCACTTTGGAAGGCCGAGGCAGGTGGATCACCTGAGGTCAGGAGTCTGAGAACAGCCTGGCTAACATGGTGAAACCCTAGTCTCTACTAAAAACACAAAAATTAGCTGGGCATGGGGGCATGTGCCTGTAATCCCATCTACTTGGGAGGCTGAGGCAGGAGAATCATTTGAACCCATGAGGCGGAGGTTGGAGTGAGCTGAGATTGCGCCACTGACTCCAGCCTGAGCAATAGAGTGAGACTCTGTCAAAAAAAAAAATTGATAGAATAAGTAGGCAAAATATCAGATGGATTTGCAGCTTTTATTAGAACTCTGTAGTAGCTTAATTGGATTACCATTTATAGTACTACAAATATGTATACATACTAATACACATTGAAATACTGCAGAATACATGCTATTTTCAAGTACACACAAAACTTTAAGTATGATTGACTACATTCTGGGACATAAAATAAATCCTAAAACATAAAATGTTTGAAATCATGCAGAGCATGTTCTATGAATAAAAATGGAATTAAATTAGAAAACAATAAAAAAATAGTACCTGAAATGACTCATCATAGTGAGGAATTAAGAATTATATTTCTAAATAGTCCCAAAATAGAATAAGTTGCTAAGAAAATGAGAAAATACCACTGAAAGAAAATAAAATCACAAGATATCAAAATTTGTGAAAAGCAGCTAAGGCAATGTGAAAAAAAAATTAAGGATTTAAATGCTTATATTAGGAAAAACAGAGAAAGTTATTGATCAGGAACTTAAGCTGCTTTTTCAGAAGCCAGAAATTTAAGGGCAAAATGAATACATGGTATACAGAAGGAAGGAAATAGGTTTTAAAAAGAATCTAGAAAAGTAATAATAGATAATTTACAAAGTAGGAAAAATGAAATCATAAGGTGCTTCTATAAAAATAACAATAAAAAGATAAACAACTAGATAGAATGAACAAGTGGAGAAATAGAGACACGGAGAAAGTGAGGGAGAGAAACAAAGAAACAGCAGCACTAAAGCTCCCACAGACATTAAAAAGTGAGTGCAAGAATATTTGAAAACTTGTGCCATACAAAATAATATATAAATTATACCATTAAATTAGCCTCAATGCCATACATAATAATATATAAATTATACCATTAAAAAATTCACCTCAATATAGTGAAATTCCCTGAAAATCAAAAATCCATAAAACTTACAAAGAAATACAATTAAAATATTAATATTCCTACATATTATTTAAAACAGATTTGTAATTTACTGGAACTTTAAAATGAAATCTCCAGTTCCAAATGACCTCACAAGTATATTATATTAAACCTTTACAAAAGCAGTAACAGGTATCTTTACAGAAACTGACTTTCCTTTGATATGTCAATTTGGTGAGGTTACAGTCCTAGTCATTCAGTTAAGCACTAATTTCAGTGTTCCTATGAAGAATTTTGCAGATGTCACTAAGGCACAACAGCTTCTGCCTGGGCCCAGGGAGCTCCATCCTGCTCCCGATCGCTTCTTGAATACTGTGAACAATAGCTTTCTCTAATGCCCATATGTTCTATCCTGTCTATGATCTTTGGTCCATAGGGTTTGATCTTCCTTAGACAGGCATTACAATCACTTAAGTCAATTTTGTATGGTAAGTCAGTCTCTCTTTCTCTCTCTCACTTTATCATCCATATGTCTCCCTATCTATCATCTATTTATGTATATGTATATATGCATGTACACAAACACAAATATGTATGATAAATACCTTAGTAATTCTGTTTCTCTTCTTGAACCCTTATTGATACACAAAATAAATGATGAGGAAATAAAGTCCTACTCAATTCATGTGGAGAAGTCCAAAGTGGTGTTTGGAAGAAAAAGTAAAGTCCTACTTGAGTTAAATAAATGATGACAAAATGGTGAAGAATATGTATTGAAATTCTCCATAAGATCAAAAAATTGTAGAATATGAATAAACTGAAAAACTGAGGTGACTCTAGGAACTAGTGAGCAGAATGGTGGTGGGGGGAAAGGGGGTTACAAATACAGATTTTGATGGTGGAGTAGATTCTGGCTCTGTAAGTTCTGCATGTGACTATGAGAGTGTTTAAATGAGAAACAAAAATAACCTAAGTTATGTGAAGAAAGACCAGAGTATAAGATATTCCTTAGGAATGGAATCTCTAGAAATGGAGATTGGTTATGAAGCTGAAGAAAGACTATTGGAGTTGAGATTTGCACTAGACTCAAATTTTCTATAGAAAATCCCACAATCCTGGTGATTAATTTCAAAGGCAAAAACTTTTCATCAAATTTTCCTAATATCAAAGCATTTTCCGGCAGTGAGTGTATGGCTAGTCTCAGCCATCATGAGTATTGATAACTGCAACTTTTCTGGCAAGTACCTAATTACCAATTAATGGGATACAATTCTGTCTTTTAACCTGCTGGTAAATAGTTAGTCCTTTTATAATTTCGAGTTCACGCATGGTCACTACTCATTAAAAATTGAAAAGAAAACAATGCAAGTGGAAATTTTCTTAACATCTATCTTTGCATAAACATTCCATAGTTTTGTAATTATTTTCAGTGACAGTAAGAAAAGATTAAGGCTATCTGGAGTGCCAGCATTTCAAGTTTGCAATGTCATTGTATCAAGTATAAATAAATATTTATTAGCTTCCAAATAAAACCAGATTATTTTCATTTCTGTCATTTCCCTTTTAACTGTATTGAAACCAGATCATTAAGCAATAAAGATGTTATCATAAAAATCAGAAACAAAACCAAAGTAAACAAATAAAAAAGAAGTGGGGAGGTGATTGTGGAAGAGTTAGTGAAATCGATTGCCTAAATTGATAAACTACTAAGCACAAATATGCTATTAGGATACATAAAGAACAAGATTTATGTAAATTCCAGTTTCTACAATTGCGTGCTCATTGTGGCAGGTGAGGCCAGTTCATTTGCCAGACTATCCGATCCTACACCTCTCCTCTCTGGTCATATTTCTGCTGCGCATCAAAATCTCACAGCATTCTAGTCATCATGTAAGGTCAGTCAGCTTCCCATTGGGAACAAAGATTTATGTGCTCCGTCAGTTTTTTCACAATAACAATATTCTAAGTGAATACTGCTGTAGCTTTACAAATACAAAGCTCCCAGAAATGTCCTTTCAAAACAGTATAGGAAAAAGGCTAACATTTATGCAATGTTTTATTTATTTAATTTTTGATTATATACATTGTCCAAGAGTTTATATTGCAAGAGAAATCAACCATGTAACAAACTGTCTAGAGGAAGGTATGTTTTCGAGAAATACCAGTAAGAATTATTTTGTCTTGGGAAAAGAATATTTTCTAAAAGTAATTATCTGAAAGCTTTTAGCAGTCTTTTGATTCTAATACAAATTTCATTTTAAAATTTTACTTCAAAATTATTCAAATATTAAAAGTGTCTTCAAAATCTGAAGCTATTTTCTAGGTCATTGCACATTTACTAAGAGATTATTTATAGTACATTATCTAAAATCATAAAAATGTAGTCTTTATGGAGATGTATACTTTACAGAAAAAAATAGTATAATAGTACACATTCATTTGTACTTGACAAAATGATTATAGGCCAGGATATTCTGATTAACTTAGACTTAACAGATTTTTAGAGAATTGGGAAATATAAGTGGGTCTTTTATCATGTATATAAAAAACAAAATTATCATAAAAAATTTCTGATTTCCACAAGCTATTCATAAATATTTAACTTGTAATGCTTTAAATAAGTACTGTTTATATCAATTGCTATTAGTAAATAATTCTGTTAGAGTTTTCCCTTGTTTCATTAGGTACAGAGTTAATGTGATTCAAATAAAATTTCCATTCTCTAAAAGTTTAAAATAAGATTCTGTTACAATATGAATAACAGAAGCCATAGTAGTTTTGGTGGGCTTAAAATGATATATTTTAGAAAGCAGACAGTTACTTACACTTTTAAATTAATTTCAGTGCCAGTCATAGAATGGAAGATGCTTTATGAAGGTATAACAGTGTCAATGTGAATGTAATTTACTGTTCACAACACATCACAGGAGTCCACAGATGGCCATAAGAAATAGCCCGACCCCCTGCAAGTCTCACAAAGCTTGCTGAGATTAGCAGGAAATGTATTTGTCTTCTCAATCAATTCATATTTAGATAAAAACATACCATTCCGTATTATCATTTTAATGCAAGAAAGGATAGGTTTAGCTGCAACCTTTCTTATTCAATATAAATGAGGCAAACTTTCCCTAGAAAATAAAAACAAAATGGTATTTTTAAAAGGGAAGATTTTTAATGCCTTTAAAAAATTATAGGTAACTTAAGATGAAAAATGTTAGAGAGACTTGAAATTAACTGTTCTTTTTATCAGAATGATATATTGAAAATAATATTAGGGAAGATAGGCTTACACAACTGAAAACATTCAGGTGAATGTCTTTGACAGGTTTTAACATTATGGATCAGTAGCTACACACACACACACACATTTGCTCTAGCCACTAGATAGTGTATCTGTTTCGTCTTTGAGGATGCCCACCCAGCAGACTGAATAGAATTCTGGGTGGTGGTTTTGAGCTAAAAATAATTCAGGATTTGGATTCTCCAGAGATTCACCTGCTCCCTCATTATGCCAGAGTTTCAGAATTTCTGAATCATTTTTGTTGACAGGCGCTGGATTTGCCCTTTTCAGGTCTAGGGTTTGTTGTCTTCTGTTAAGTGTTGTCAGATTTTTAATGGTCTTATTTTAATCCTCCAGGGACTAATGTGTAGTTCTTTGGTTTGTAAGTGCTTGCTTTAATCTCTGTTGTTGTTGTTGCTTGTAACAGAATAACTGAGCTGGGTAATTTATAAAGAAAAAATATTGATTTCTTACAGGTATAGAGGGTGAGATGTCCAAGGCAGAGGGGCTGCCTCTGGTGAGGCCCTTCCTGCTGATGAGAACCCCATAGTGCTTCAAGACAGTGCAGAGCATCTCATGGTTAGGGGATTGAGCTTGTTCATGTGCTATCTCAGGTCTGTTTTTCTTATAAAGCCACCAATTCCCTTTTCATAACCTATTAATCCATTAATCCATTGATCCATGAATTGATTAATTCACTCATGAAGTCAGAGCCCTCATAATGCATTCATCTCTTAAAGGATCTAACTCTCATTACTGCCACATTGGGGAATAAATTTCAAAATGAGTTTTGGAGTGGACATTCAAACCATAACAGGGCTTTGTATATGAATAAGCCTATCACTGTAGGAAGTTTACAATTTGGAGCTAATTAAATCTAAGGTATTTGATATTGTTTTCTAGTATATTTAAAACTTGAATACTTGAAGTCTCTAATATGAGGCTCTTTATAAAGTTATTTAGTTTTCAGAGCATTTTATCTATCATAGGATAGTAATCAGAATTATTCTCTTAAGTTGAGATATAAATAAACCTAAACAAACTCAAAGACTAGTTCACACTTATGAAGAATTTAACAGATACTGCTTTTTTAATTTAGATATCAGCTACCACTTTTTACTAAAGACTAAATTGAGTATACATTTTTATGACACTAAACTACTTGAGAGTTATATTTTAATAATTGAGAAAAAATAAAGAAATACTTTTAAGTAGGAATTTGTGATAATGGATATATGGCAATTGATTTTTATCAGTTAAGGGTTGGAGTCTGACTTCAGATAGATCAAAGTTCAAATCGTGGCCACAGGAACAGACTATGTGGCACTTGAGAATGTTGCTTAATTTCTTCAAGACTAATTTATTTATCTATAAAAAGATGATAATAAGGATAAATCCTCATAGGAGTTTTGAGATTTAAATTGTACCATTCACGTAAAATTTTGGCATAGTACATGACATAGTTTTTAAACTCCAAATTTAGCTGTTATCATCATCATGTTATTATTATGGATTGAATTATTCATCATTTTCTTCATGAATGATAAAATCACATATAGTAATTTTTCCAGATACATTTCTTCATATTTGTTAACTAAAGTGAATAAAATATAAACATTGATTCTATTTTTTGTTACTCTGGGACCAAGTTACCTTTTCCTTCTCTAGTTTTTAGTACATTGATAAGCATCCAGTCTTTGAAGGACTGATGTTAAGGGCAGAGTGACATGGTACTTCACGTGTGCTGGGCTCCATGCCCTTGATGACAATTGCATTCAGAAGAAGCCTTAATGGGAAGAACCCAAATAACTTGAATAATATGGGCAAAGAATATGCAACATAATTACTACTTCCCACAGGATTATGACTTAATAGGAAAAGATATAATTTCTCCTTTTATAAGGAGGGTGGTAAAGAGTATAATCTTAGGTCTAAATCTGATTGCAATAGTATTTGGAGAAGATTTTTAAAATGCACTATGTTTGGAGAAAGATCTGGTTTCTCTTTTGAAAGCTAAAACAGGGGCTCAGTCTGACCCATGGCTTAAAATGCCTAATGGAACCTAACAATTTTATGGCACTGTACAGTAAGTGATGTGCTAGTTCTGCCACTGTGATTTATTAGAAGTGCAGTTTTAAGTAACATCCCTACCTTTCAGAGTTTAATTATTTTCAGATGTCAGATGATATTAATCATATCTGAGCTTACTAGCTCACTAGAATCAAATAACAAAACTGCAAAAAAGCAAAATGAAATGAAACATGTAAAAGTATACAAAGTACTCTATCTAATAGGTATTCTAATAATACCTGGTATATGATTTTAACAGTTTAAAGACTTTGGGTTTTAACAGAATTTCATATACTCTGAATTACATCTATAAGTGTCTATTTGTACATGTACATACATGTATAGTATATATGTGATTCTCTTCCAGCTATACCTATTAACTTTTTTGTTTAGTTCTGTTTTACCAATGTCTTTTTGTAGACTGGGAAGTTTATTTTCACATCTCTCTTTATTGTGAAACTCCCCATGCATAAAACTAGCAATAGAAGTCTGGTTCTCACTTGTTAGCACCTATCTGATC
Organism: Homo sapiens; assembly: GCF_000001405.40. NCBI lineage: Eukaryota > Metazoa > Chordata > Mammalia > Primates > Hominidae > Homo > Homo sapiens. The sequence goes on from NC_000007.14 coordinate 119,758,949, forward strand.
AGGCTTTTGCTGAAATGAAAAAATGCCTGATGGACTTACGCATTCATATTTTATTCTGGATTGTTCTGTGATAACCCTATCTCCTCATCATTTCTGGTCATCCCACTTTTCTCATCTCAAACTTAAGGCTTATATAGATTCTCTAATTCTCTCTCAGAAACTTCTCCACTACTTACTGTAGAGAACAGACATTTGGATGTTCTTTTCATAATATATGGGATGCTCAGTGTTCTGTGAGGCTGCCATCAAGTACTTACCTAGATGCTTTATCCAACAACTGTCAGTCAATAGTACTGGTGTGCTGCTGGGTGTGGAGTGGGCTCTTCTATGAGAGATTCACTTCCATAGTCCACCCCATTGGAACCTAGCCATAGGTATCTTTGGTTTCAGAAGTTTGAGGTTCCCTAAAGTTTTTTACTGAGGAAGAAACCAAAAACCCTTTTAAGATAACCACATGAAAAAGAGTGACCTCCATTAAGCTACTTTTTTTTTTTTTAATGGAGTGTTGCTCAGTCGCCAGGCTAGAGTGCAGTGGCGCGATCTCAGTTCACTGCAACCCCCGCCTCCCGGGTTCAAGTGATTCCCCTGTCTCAGCTTCCCAAGTATAAGCTACTATCTTTATCCTTAGTTATCCTATAAGCATACTGACTCTCCCTTTTAAACTAGAAAAATTCACTCTCACATACCAGTGCCTTTCCCTGAACTCTGTTAAGAGTAAACTGAAAGTTCTCTTTGATTAAATATTATATTTTGCTTTAACAAAGACAGTATTGGTGTTGAAATAATGTCATTCACCTTTTCTCTCTCAAGACCTTAGTTCTTTGTAAATAATTGCATCTTTGCTTTCAAAACTCTAATTTATATTAAAATATTAAACATCTGATTAGAAGATAAGTTGACTTATTTGTTCTTTTTTAGGTCATTTTATCAGCTCCTCTTCCATGAAGTGAATTAACTAGGGCCCATTAGGTGATGCATGTCATTGACTCTTAGCAGAAAGAAAAGATACAGGGGTCATATATGACTGTTAGGGTTGCCATAACAAAGTACCACAACAAGGTGACTTAAACAGCAGAAACATAGAGTCTCACAGTTCTGGAGTCTAGAAATCCAGTTGCTGGTAATATTGGTTCTTCCCAAGTGCTCTGAGGGAGAATCTTTTCTATGCCTCTCTCCTACTATTTTGTGTTTCTTGGCAAGCTTTGACACGTGAATGTCTGTCTTCATGTTCACAAAGTTTACTCCCTCCGTGTGTGTGTGTGTGTGTGTGTGTGTGTGTGTGTGTGTATGTCCAAATTGTTTCTTTTTATAAGGGCACAAGCCATATTGTATCAGAAAGCTTATCCTACTCCAATATGACCTCTTCTTAACAAATTATGACATTCAGATGTACCAAAATGTAGAACTTCAACATATGAATTTTAGGGACGGGACATACAATTCAACCGAAAACAAGCCACAAAGACAAAACTCTCTTAGTTAATACATCTGAAGCCTGTCCCGCTATGAATTATCCTTAGTACTTTATTCACTGTAGCTTGTCTTTACTATCACAGGCCATGCAATTCTTTGTAATCTAACTGGTAGCCAAAATGCTGATTTCTATTCATTGTGTCCTCTCTACGTATCCATGCAAAAAGGGTGCTCTAGCATATCTGCATATGAGAAAGCTATATTTACCCACATATATCTGTAAAAATGGTATCACAAGAAATAACACAATAAAATGTACACGATGAGGAATATACAATTCTTGTTACCATACATTAGATAAGAAGTAGCAATCGATTCTTCAAGCTATTGAAAATTTCCTTTTTATATCCTTCCTAACATTCAATATGTAGCAGACATCAGGAAACTTTAGAAGAAAATCTTATTCCTACATAAATTATTCTAATTCTTTCTCATGAGTTAAACAAACTTTATTTTGAAAAGTACATTTAAACAAACTTGTAGTTTGAAAAGTAAAGAGCTTATTAAGTTAAATTAGGAGTTAACACGGCTTATTCTTTCAGCAGTACATAGATGTGTTACTCATTCTTCTTTAACCCGAGTATTTTTAGTAAGAAATAATATTCTTGTACCCTTTCTGTATATTGCATTACCAAAAAGAGTGGGTACATATTTTCCATTTACCTGAAATAAAAGTACTTTTATAATGCTCTACAATTTCTCAAACTATGTAAATTGTGGAATAAGAAACATATTATCCTTACCTCTCTCTGCCAACAATTGAGAATAATTAATACACAGCATCAGGTAGTAAAACAAAAGTTGTATATTCATTGCAATTATTGCATCAAGTATTTCTGGAGAAGACAGTAGGTGTCAAAATATGTTTTCAAATATTCTTAACTTTCTCATTCTTTTAACACATGAATGAAATCTTGAATGCACACAGGAATCTAGAGTTATGACATTTCTTCTAAGAATTACCATAGTAATTCTGTATTATTTTCTTTGTAATTGATATATTGAAGGAATAAATATGTACCTAGCTTGATTTTATCTTGTTGAAAGTGATCTATTTTTACTTGTACAATTTATTTAAGAAAGTAACAAATAAAAGGTCAATTTACAAGGAAAAAATTATGAAGACACTAGTTGCAGCTGTCAGGAAACAATGATCAATAAATATTTTCACGTTTCTTCACACTCATGGTTTACTGAGAAAAGATTACTGACAACCTATGTTAAAGAATGACTGAAGGAAAAACAAGCCTTGGAAATTAAATATAGGGACCTTCTGAGAGATTTATAAACAATTTTCCCTGAAGCCATTTGTTTACATTCACCGGTTTATAAACCTAGAGACCTTCTGCTCTCTCTAGAGAGCATTTCTTTATATCTAGAGCAAACATCAATTTATTTTCATCTCTAGAGAGGTAGATTGCCAGCTACCTTATATAAGTTCCCAGTTTCATAGGTTTGGAGTTATCCTCCTCTGATACATACCCTGAAATATATGGAGTGACTTTCTTCTTTTATTCCTTCACCCCATGGGGATTTGGAATATGTGGAACTGGAACAAAATGTTCTGTTAGTAATTGTTTCACCACCTCTGATTCACCACTGTCTATAGTAATGTATACTTGTCCAAGTAGGGCAACGTCTTAAACCATTCTTTCCATTTCAAAATTTTCTATATTATTTGAATCATTTATATTTGTAGAAAGAAGGAAGAAAATGTAGGAAAGAAGATGGAAAGAAGGAAAGTTGTGTCTAAATATGATATATAATGAAAAAGCTAACTAGATGGATGCAAAATTTTATAAGTATAAATCATTTGAAGTAAGATCCAGATACATATGTATAGAACAATCTTGATAATTTACAAATGTAATATACAGAAAAAATGTTACCAAATAATACAGAGAGTTTGATACAATTTATATAAAATGTAGTTTGTCTCTGAAGTGTTATTTGAGGATATTCATGACTGCTCAAAAACACTAGAAAAACACAAGGAATTGATACAACACTTAAGTGTTAAGCAAAAATTAGCGAGTATTTTATGAGATACAGGTAATATCTCGTGTGTGTGTGTGTGTGTGTGTGTAATGTTTAAAGAAGTTGCCTGTGAGATAGAATTCATGATATGCTTAAGTATATATTGCAAGTTAGTAATATTTAAGACATGTTAAACATAGATGAAATAAGTGGAATAAACAAGAGTGCTACTTTCAAATAGATATAAAGGGAAAGATCAAGTCATAGGCTATGATTATTGCACCACTGGGCTGACAGTTGTTATCCCTAAATTGGCCGTCTGCTTGTGACTTCCATTATGTTCTAATTTGGCCCCTCCTGGGCTCTTTCCAAGAAACAGCTAACTACCAGTTACTGTTCATTAGATTAATTCGTGAGTTACAGCTATGACCAGGACTGCTTGCCCTGGCATCTCTTTGATGGAAAAAAAGTATATTTGTGTTGGTACAATCATTCTGTTGGACTCCTCAATCAAATCTTAAATCTGGTCCCCATTAACCACCATCAGTTGGAAAGACTGATATGGTGGAGAGAAATAGACACACAAATAAATGTTGCATAATCCAGGGTTCAGGTAGTATAATCTTTCATCCTATCCTATTGCTTTCCTCTTGCTTTTACTATATGGTTTTAACTGAGTTTATAAACTATGTCATTCAAGAATTTTAGTTTGGCCTGAGATACATTCTGTTCCATAACTTCTGGAATAGCTTGCTTTACAGTAGCTTTAAGACCTCCATTACATAAAGACAATTTCTTACACCTCATTAAAATATAAACTAGTGCTATATATTATTTTTATCCATATTATATTACCAAATAAAGAGGTTATGAAAGGACATGTTGAATGCAATAAAATGCTATCATAAGGCAAAGGTGGCAGGATGTTATGAGGGTTCAGATGTCTAGAGAAATTTAACACTGTATTATTGTTCTGATTTCTAAGAAGAAGGATATATCACTTGACAAATTAAAGATTAATAAAACAATCACAATAGTTTTCTTTTTTGGTGTGGATTGGTCATTTTTAATAATCAGATTAAAGCACTCAATCAAGAATACGCTCTTTTTTATGGCTGCCTAGTATTCTATGGTGTATATGTATCACATTTTCTTTATCCAATCAAGATCATGCCTTTTGCAGGAACATGGATGAAGCTGGAGGCTATTATCCTTAGAAAACTAACTCAGAAACAGAAAACCAAGTACTGCATGTTTTCACTTATAAGTGGGAGCTAAATGATAAGAACTATGAACACAATGAAGCAAAAAACAGACACTGGGGTCTACCTGAAAAGGGAGGATAGGAGGAGGAAGAGGAGCAGAAAAGGTAAGTATTGGGCACTGTGCTTAATACATGCATCTTTTACTACATTTAACTGCAGATTTTATTCCGGTAATTCTAACCTGTTCTCTACAGGTGCCCTGTCACTATTGTTTCTGTGGTTAAACTGGTCTTCTTTGGGTTCTGCAGCTTCACCATGCTTCTCTCAGCTTTCTGACAACTGTATAAGCTTTGGTGTTTGCCTGGAATACTCTTCTCTTTGCTCTTTGTCCTAATTCTCTTTCAAGTATCAGTTCATAGACTGCCACTATCCTTATTTTATATTCATAATGTACCCTGTAACTTTCCTCTGACATACTGAATCGTTGATTATTAGGTAAATATATTTCTTTACCTCTTGCCTGTGAGCTTTAAATGTAAGAATTATGCATGAATTTGATCATCATGGTATTACAATAACCCAACTGCCTAACAAATAGAAGATAATTGGTAAATAAAGTAATACAAATTCCATGAGTGCTCAAGTAAGATGACAATGTGAAAGAGTTTTAATGCATTTAGTGACATGGATATAATTTGAGTTTTGAGTAATTAAAGTTATGTTGAAGTAGAAAGGTGGAGTCAAGATCTGGTGCACTGAGAAGTTGATTGTGAGGATATTGGAATAGTAAGTATAGAAAATTTATTTCAGAAATTTGGTTTTGAAGAAAGGAACAAATACCGGGGAGTGCCTACAAGGTGGAGTGAGGTTGAAAAGGATTTTATTGTTATTTGTCTTACTAGTTTATATCTGAGACAGAATATATAGATGCTGTTTACAATAACTTAATAAAATAAGATAAATTGAAGATATGACATCAAGAGGGATGCAATTAAAGTACAAGGACCCTAATGAGGTGAAAGGGTAGGGAGTATAGGCAAACATGGGAATACATCAAATTTGGGGAAATGTACTTACACACTTGTAATACGGCTGAAAGAAGATAAGGGTATCATGACAGAATAAGATGGCTTGATTTTTTTTATTCCGTGAATTAAGAAACTGGGACATCTCCTTTAAGAAAGGTAAAGATATAGGGAGATGTTAATAGGATAAATGTTTGAAAACGATAATGAATTTTTTTATCTAGTACTCACTACATAGAATTAGAAAACTCAGAAATTTTTAATAGCAGGATTACAATATTTAGAGTCTCGTTAAGGTTGATGACCATTACTTAAATGGGCAGAAAGTATCCCCAGTGGGAAAAGTTCTCAAAAAGGATTCAACATCTCAGGGACAGGACCACTGGATAAAGAAGAGAGTTAGGGGTTTTTATCACTTTTGTATAGCAAAAAAAAGGAAATGGATAAAATACTTTCTGAATATTGAAAAGAGACTACTAGAATTGAAATTAATAGACATTAATTTTAAGCAGGAAGGTGTGTAGGGTAAAAGTTGTAAAATTCACTTGCGTTAATTACTATTTCATTATAATTAATCTTGATACAATATAAGAAAAATCCCTTATTTTCTTCTTCAAAATGTTTTTGTGTATCCTTGGACCATTATTCTTAATAATAATTAAGGATTGCCATTCTAAGTTTCATTCATATTCCTTTGAGAAATTATATGGGAAGAATTCTGAGTCTTTAAATTATTTTGGGAAATTTTGTCATCATTGAAGTTTTTCATATATGAAAGCAATATTCCATTCCATTTGGTCAAATATTTGACTTTCTTGAAAAATGACTTCTAATTTTCTTAATTAAAGTTTTGTACACCATATTAAATTTATTTCTTTGTACCTTATGATATTAGTTGCCAGGATAAATAATAACTCTTCTAAATTAGATTTCTATATTACTTTGTTGCTGGTCTATAGAAATGCAAGTGATTTGTTTTTATTGTTGTTATATATAGCCACCTTACTAAGCTTTCTGTATAATTCTAGCAATTTTCAGATTTTCAGGGTTTTATGGAAGCAAATTAAACTACCCTTGAAGAAAGACAATTCGATTAATTTCTTCCTAATTCTGTGTTTGTATTTCCATTTTGATAATGCTGGAGAGGTAGTATCTTACCATGTTTTGTTGTTGTCATTGTTTGTTTTTCTGTTTTGAGAAAGGGTCTTGCTCTGTCTCCCAGGCTGCAGTGCAGTGGCCAGATCATGGTTTACTGCAGTCTTGACCTCTGGGGCTTCAGTGATCCTCCTGCCTCAGCCCCCTGTGTAGCTGGAACTACAGGTATGCACCGCCATGCACGGCTATTTTTATTTTATTTTATTTTATTTATTTAATTTATTTATTTTTTGGAGAGAATGGGTTTCACCATATTGCCCAGGCTGGTCTGGAACTCTGGAACTGTTGGGCTCAAGTGATCCATCTGCCTTAGCCTCCCAATGTACTGGATTACAGGCATGAGCTACTGTGCCCTGCTCTCCATCTTACAATGTTGAATAGAGATGATGTTAATAGGCATCTTTGCTTTATTAAAATCTTCAAACTAATTTACTTAAAATCAGTCATGAAATGCCAAGTTTACCATTTAGTTCTGAGTATTATTTTGATTCTGTTATGATTTCTTCTATACTTAAAAATTATTTAGAGTAGAAGATTTACGTGGTTTAACTTTGTGTCCCCACCCAAATCTCAACTTGAATTGTAATCCCCAGGTGTTAAGAGAGGAATTGGTGGAAAATGATTAGATAATGGGGATGATTTCCGCATGCTGTTCTCATGATAGTGAGTGAATTCTCACAAGATCTGTTGGTTTTATAAGTTCCTGCCTTCTCACACACTTCTTCTCTCTCCTGCTGCCATGTGAAGAAGTGCTTCAGCCATGATTGTAAGCTTCCTGAAGCTTCCCAACCATGCAGAACTGTGAGTCAATTAAACCTTTTTGCTTTATAAATTACCCAGTCTTGGGCATTACTTTATAGCAGTGTGAAAACGGACTAATACAGAGTCTCACACACACACACAATACACATTGACTAGGATGTTAATTTGGTTGTCACTGAATCCATGGACAAACTTAAGAAGAATCAATATTGTTACAACATTGAGTTTTCAAATGCATTTCATGTATTTAAGTAGGTTGTTTGTAGATTAATCTGAGTTTTCTATGTACATAATAATGACACCTGTTAATATTGACTAGTCTGTTTCTTATTTTGTTATTTTAATCCCTGTTTTATTTTACTGCTACAGTAAATGTTGAATAAAAGAGCAGAGAGCATTTTTGTCTCCTTCCAGAATTCACGAAGAAACTAACTTTTCAGTTGCTATAAGATTTTTGTAGAACCCAAGAATCACTGCCTCACAAATACAGTTCTTGCTGCTTGGAGTGCAAGTAAATCATCATTTTTGTTTGCTTATTTTCAATATTCAGTAGTGTTCTCTACCTCTGATGCAAGTTACCTGAGACATCAGCTAAATATATTTCCTTCAAAGTAAAATAACTGGCCTGTTGCTGGGCTTTCTGGGAGAAAGAGCTTCTAGCACTGACCTATCACAAAATTCTGACTCAAAATTACTATTACATGATGACTAATGTAGCAGAGAAATTCTAATCAGGATGGAATAGCCAGGCAGCACTCACCGATAAAATGGAAATGGTAATAGAGGAGCATGTCATTCTAGCAACAAAGGATTAGAGTGTTTATTTTATTTATAAATAACATTATATTCCACAAATGTTTTGGGCACTAAAGACAGAAATCAGAGAAAAGCTAAAAGCACTGGATTATTTGATACATCCTAGTATTCAAGAGGTATGTACAAATAGTAATTATAAGGACCAAGAATTTTATTTAACAATTTGTATTGAAAAAATAAATTTAGAGACAAATGTCATAAAATTATCAATTTAATGTCTGGGATAAAAGCAGATGTGTTTAATAAAGATGCTCCTCTTGTATAGCTGGAAGACAGACTATGCTAAATAACAGGCACATAACTTGATTATAAAACCATCAGAATTTCAGAAAAGCCTGTATTCAGGGCCTCAACATGTTTCTACCTTACAAGCTGGATCCTCACATGAAAGTAGTTAAGCCCTAAGAGTTGGGAGGGGGCCATATGGGTAAATAGCTTGAATATACTGACCCCCTGATTCCCATCCCCAATGTTAGAAAATAGCAGGGTCCTCTTTGCTGATGTCTGTGTAGTTGCTCTACCATATAACACTTGTACTCCTCAATATTTTCTCCCACTTTAATTCTTGGATAATTACTTCGCAAAGCATCACTAGAAGTGATCTTGAATGTCCTGAACTAAGAAAAGCAAAGTATAAATCTGAAGAAAGGGAAGATTGTTGACACAGAGACAATCCATATCCCAAAGTTTAATGTTCCTGGAACCTGTCTTAACACAATGCAGGAATACAACTTGAAATATTGGGAAAAGATATGGTCCACAATGTATGGAATGAAAGTGTCAGAAATACATTGGCAATTTCCAGGAAAATTTTAGAAGACATCCCTTTGGAAGAAACAATAACTAATACCACGAGTGAGTATAATATTGGCATTACTTAGAAGTTCTAAATTGTCACAGTTGATACTACGAGATGCTGTTAAGGAACTGGGGATTACTAATGATGAACAAAAATGATTTGTAAAATATACTGGGGCAGGAGCATATCTATAGGAAGCTAATCTATACTCTGTTCTGTGAACGCGAAATTGCTTTGCCTAAAAGCTCTAACATTTGAGAATTTATATGTGAGATACCAGGAAATGGTTGACAATGGAAGGAGAGAGAAACTCCTACATGACAAAACTAATTCACATTAATAGTACAACTATCTTGGTCAGAATCTCCAAAGGAACAAGGATGATTATCCAATTGATGGTGCTGAATTATTTTCTGAATTGCCTTTGAATCCCAGTTCAAATGACTTACTGTTTTATTTGAGTTTCTGTACTTTGTAGAAGGCCTTGCTCACGTTTGAAGTCTAGTTTCATGGCTATGCCATGATTTCTCTTTATTTTCTTCTGTCTGTCACAATTAGCACTCTCATATTACTTAAATGAATTCTCATCTAACAAAATGCCCTATCCACCACAATGTGGCATCTGTTTCTAGTTGAGTGTTTTCATAAGCTTCATAATGTACCTACCTATCCATGTGTCTAGGTTTAAAGCAAAACTGATGGTCATGCTATGGAAATCATTATTCACAATCTTTCACTGATAAGCAACATGGAGATCCTACATGAAATAGTCCTTACAGAAGTGTGCAGTCTGTGTGTATGTGTACATTCCTAAATTTTGAAGCAAAGTTATAATTATATTTTTCCCAGAGCACAGCCAGTTTTTATATAAGAAATTAAGGATTTTGACCATATGTGCTAATTAACTTGCTTCCTGAAGCCTTTACTTACTATGGAGTTGACACGATCTATTTAATTAAAAAAGAGAGAGAGAAGCTTTGTGAGATTTCCTGTTTGCCAGCATGCATGCATAGCACTTTCCAGCAAGTATGACTATGGGATGGTATTACATGATAAAAGTCATCTCTCTTCATTGATATTATGCTGAAATGTGTTAAGTCTCTGCTATCACAAATGCAAAAGTCAATATGTGGTTTGGATAGACCGTCTGTATAATTTATTTTAGGTCATTTTTCACAATTATTCTATAAAAGCATTATTTGTATTTTTCCTTATGTGCCTAATTCAGATACTAAACCATATCCGGGTCTTCAACTTATTTATGTCAAATTACCACAGTATCATAAAAGTTGTATTAAAATTAGTTTTTAGAAGCTGTAATGGCTATATAAAGCTAATTACAACGGAGGTTTTTTCCCATGCTCTAATAAGAGGAAAATAAAAGGTAAGTTTTGGTGAGGATGTGGAGAAAAGAAAATCCTTGCACACTGTTGGTGGGAACCAAAATTAGTATTACCATCATAGACATGGGGTTTCTGAAAAAAAAAAACGAAAATAGAATCACCATATGATCCAGAAATCCTATTTCCGGGTATTTACCCAAAAGATTTAAAATCCGTAAATCCAAGAGATATCTGCACTCCCATAGTCATTGTAGTGTTATTCACAGTAGCCAAGTTATAGAATCAACTTAAGTGTTCATCAACAGATGAACACATAAAGAAAATATGGTATACATAAACAATGGAATACTATTCAGCCATGGAAAAAGAAAGAAATGCTATCATTTGCAACAACATGGATGAAGTTGTACACTATAATGTTAAGTCATTATAGTCACAGATAAGACAAATAAGCCAGTCACAGAAAGACAAATACTGCCTCCTTTTACTTCTCTGTGAAATCTTAAACAATCGAACTCATAAAATAATAGAATAGAATAGTGGTTACCAAAGGCTAGGGGATGGAGGGAATGGGGGGATGGTGATCCAAGGGTACAAAGCCTTAATTAGACAGGAGGATTAATTTTTACTTTTTCTTTGAGATCTATTGTACAGTGTGGTGAATATAGTAAATAACAGTGTATTGTACATTTCAAAGTAGCTGAGAGTAAATTTTGAATATTCTCATTACAAAAATGATTTGTAATTGAGGTGATGAACATGTTAAGTAGCTTGATTTAATTATTTCACATTTTATTTATAGATCATAATATCGTTTTGTGCCCCTTAAATATATACAACTATAATTTTTCATTATATAGAGCATATAATGCTATGATTTCATAGTATCATTTTTATGCATCTCTTTAGGTTACACCTAAAATCCTCTGAAAATAAAATTTCATGGACTGTCACCAATAATTTAATTTTTAATATAATAACTGTTTTGGCTTAGAAATAAAATATAAAAATTCATATCACTGAATTTATAAAAGCTATACTTCTAGAATTAGTGTGACATTCATAGCACAACACAGAAAATCATGTCTGAAGACATTTTTCAATTTGACTTAGAAATGTCATTGCCCCTCTTCCCATGTCTCTCTCACTATGGAAGCTGTATGTCATCAAAGTGAATCATAGCTATGCCATGGAAACCACTGATATACTACTGGGGGCTTCATTTAATGCTACAAGGAATAACCAGCATGTACAAATGCCTCTAAATTTCTAGTGTTTTTCTACTGAGAAGTATAACTGGGAAGAAAACTAATCAGTTTTTAGATTTTTATTCAGCACCTTCAGTGGTACCTATATTACTGCTATGGATAGTGCAGATATATTTCTCTATTATATCTCCTGAAGAGATATTTTCCCCCTTTTAGAATTTACATAATGAGAACGATATAAATCATAAATTAAAAGGTGAATTAAGGAAGCAGCAGTATCAAAAAATTTGCTCATTTAAATACAAAAACAAGTACAAATGGTGAAAATTATGCCTTTTACTTAGGAAACAAAATAAGAATGTTTAAATTCTACTTTAAAAAGCCACTGAATACATGTTAATCTTAGACATTGTGTCCAAAAACTTGAAATTGGTAAAACTCTCTAAACTTATTCTGAAAAAAATAAACAACAATCCTCTTATAACTAGTTATCAGATTCTCAGTTATTTTGCCATGTAGAGTAGATTTTGAAAAATAATATACAAAATGTTTATTTCAGAGATAACTATTTGAGTCATAGATCATCTTAAGCCTTATGAGAATGACCAATGGATTTCAGCCCCTATATCAAATATATTGTTTTAGGTACATTTTCACAAATTCTGTGCATTTAAGCTTAGCCAGAATGAGTAAGTGCCAAGCTCTCAAAGATGTTAGCTGCTGATTATCGGCTCAGTGACAAGTGGCTGAATCAACATCTTTAAGACGTCTAATCTTTCCAAATCTTCTTTCTATTAGACTATTTTAAACTGGTTACTATTTATTTGTGCACATGTGCTTTAAGAATCACAGGAGGAAGATGAATAAATAATGACTGTTCTAGTAAAATTTTTGTTGTTTCAATTGCTATATATTCTATTGCAATTTTGTTCTGAGATTTTTATAGCAATTGTTAGACAGCTCACATTCATTCTGCATTTACTCTATTCCACACACGGAGGTAAGGGCTTTCGGTGGACAGTCTCTAAAATGACCTTTAATAATTCCTGTCTTCTGATATTTACATCCTTGAATAATCCTCTCCCCTCTGGTGTGAATAGTACTTGTGTCTTACTTCTAAGTAAATTATGTGGCAAATATGATGGGATACTACTGTGTGGTTATGGTATGTTCTCAAGACTCCATCTTGATAGTTAATTTACTCTCTTTCTATTGCTGGATTTGAAGAAGTAAATTTTCATAAATTAAGTGGCCTTGTTGGATAAGCCCACATGGCAAAGAACTTCAGAAGGATTCTAGAAATTGAGTGTGGCCATCAGCAAGAAACTAAAAGCCTCAGCTTTGTGGCCAAAAAGGAAATGAATTCTGCTAATTTGAGAAAGCTTGCAAAAGGTTCTTTCTCCAGTTGAGTTTGTGTAAGACCAAAGTACTGGCTGACACATGCATTACAGCCTAATAAGAATCTGAAGCAGAGAACCCAGCTAAGCCATGGACAGACCATAACCCACAGAAAACCGGAAGATAATGTGTATTATTTTTAAATTGCTTAGTATTTGATGATTTGTTACGTGGCAATAAACAATGACTATATGGATTTTCATATATTAACACGGCCAAATTTCCAATAACCTTATGAGTCAGAAGTCTGTGTTTTACTGATGAGAAAACTAAAGAAAGAGAGATTAAGTAATTTATTCTGATCATTATCAGAGCCAAGATTACCAATGAGGACTGCTATTTCCATAGCCCTTGTTTTTAACAACCTGCTGTATTTCCTTGCTAAAAAAATGTTTCTGAAAATTTGACTGACTTATTAACCAAGAACACTAATGCTTCTTTATATGTTGATTCTATTTTGTTTATGAGTTATTTTTGTTGATTCAACTCTATTTTCTATGGTTTTGACTAATATAACACAAAAACATTTTTTTATCGTCAAGCCAATCATATTATCTAAAATGTATATAAAAATTTCAAATCATTTAATAAAATTAAATACATGGTTGTAAGTGTTTTATTTTAATTTATTATTAGGTTAGGTAGCGGCTAAAAATACTGAATGGCCCTAGATGGCTCTCAGGTGATCTTCTCTCCTAATACTTCAGGCTGTTTTTACCCGGTAATCTCAGAGCAGCAGGAAAATCAGAGCAGAAAAAAGCAGGGCTTCTTGAGCCCTTTCCCAGAATTTGCACAAAATTTACTTCTGCTTCCTTCTGTTGGTTAAAGCAGTTCCCAAATCCAGCACAAACTCAATAGATAGGGAAATGGAACCCACCTCTTAATGCAAGGAGATGCAAATTATTTATGATAATTCTAGTCTTTCACCCCAAAATTGTGAGTCTAACTCATGAGCATATTATTTAAACAAAATGTCTAAAAATTGCCTAGGCAAAGTAGAATGTTTAGAGGAAGGGCTTTCTAGTCAGAATATCATAATAAGATAAACTTATCTACCTAGTTTTAGAATGTCAAGAAACAAAAGTGATACATCATCTCCATAACATGGAGCATACTTTTGGGAGATATGAGAAATTATCTTGAGGCAAGTGTATCTTCTAACTGTTCTTTGAATTATTAAACAACAGAAAAAGAATGTCATGTGTGATAATAAATATAGGTGAGCAAGAGGAATTAATGTGAATACTTTCCATGGAAAGGAAATTATATTTTCTACATACTTATATTAGAGAGGCACATTTGTTTTATAACTCCCATACTACCTCTTTTTCATTTACTTATAAAAACATACAAATAAAAAAATGTTCCCCTAGGGTAGAGTTATTTTAACATACATATTTATATGACTCTACAAATACTATTGAAGTCCTTAATACAGTAAAGATTTTTAATAAATATTTAGCTTGAATGTAATCAAATATATTTCTTGTTCCTAACTGGAGAAGGAAAAACAAGTATTTCTGTCAGGTGGCATTACTCATAACTCAGGCAGAATTTTAAGATGGCCTCTCAAGGTCAATCTCAAGATTGATGCCTTCTGGTGGATATGCCTTTCATAATCTCAGGCATGGCAATTTTAATGGGTCATATTCCCATATGTAGGATACATTATATGTCACAATGGACTTTTAAAAAGGGAGATTATCCAACCAGGCTTGACCTAATCTCATGAGCCCTTTAAACCTGGATTTTGAGGTCAGAGACAGGAAGTCAGGAATTCTAAGCACAAGAGATTCAACAATGTCTGAAAATTTCTGCTGCTGGCTCTAAAGGTAAAAGGCACAACCCCTCAGTCCTTAGAGAAAGTGAATCTAGGGAATGAATTCTACCAACAATCTGAAGGAACTTGGAAGAGGATTGTAGCTCCAGGTGAGACATTATCTGTGACACTGTGATTTCTACCATGTGATACCCTAAGCAGGGAAGCCTGGTATACTGTATTCATGGTCTGATTTCTATCATACAGACTGTGAGTTAATACACTGGTATTGTTTTAAGCTGCTAAGTTTGTGGTAATTTGTTGCCACAGCAATAGAAAACTAATGCATTCAGAGAAAAATTAACATTACCAAAAGAAGGAAAAAAACTAAAATCATTGTTTTCCGTTACCTCACTCTTCTATATCCCACACAAAATCATATATTTTTTAGACTCTAAGGTTAGTTAAATAACATGAGGTTTATTACCTACAAAATTCCCTACCAGTACTTACAGGCCACAAGGCAAAGTGTCTGGCTTTCTAAAAGATAACATCAGCTACTATTAAAAAGTTGTGTCAATATTAATTTAAGAGGTCTTTTGCACAAATGCTAGTATTGATAAATTGAGTTTCTTCTCATTCAGCTTACAGAATATATAGTATACATCAGTTTAAATTATGTATGTGAACATTTATGTTTCCAATGGTTATTTTAATCATCCACAAGATGAATGAGATGAATGTAACTGACAATTTCACAATGCATGTTTTAAATCTGCAGAACAAAGATATAAAATAAAATATAATCTAGGTGATAAAAGGTTTCTGCACTGATCATACTGCTAAATCTTTATATGCTTTTGAGCAGAATGTGTTTTTTTCCCAGAGAAACTATTGATCTGTGTACTACTTTCTTCCAATAAATGACTTCACATTAAACTCAACTAACTCAGTTAAAGATTTTATCATCCTGAAAACTTATCATCTTCGTTTAAATGACCGGAATTTGTATTCTCACATTTCCCCCAGAGTTCAATTAAAATTAAGTCCCCAAGTAAAGTATATATTTTATATCTACCTAGAGTAAACTCAACTCGGATATACTTATGTTGTTTGTTTTATAATCCTTATGTTCCAAATAATATCTCTTTGCCATCATAACTTCATATAATTTCTTTATAATTATTTGTAATACAATATTTGCTGTTTACGTTGAAAATTTAAAAAGTATTTTATGATTGATTTCAGCTGCTTTACCCACATTTTACATCAGAGGTTTTATTCCTTCTGTTAAAGTGATGAAGTTTTTGCCTCAAGGAATTTACATGCTAGTGAAAGAATATGACAATTAACACATGAACTAACAATGAGAGTATAATTTCAGATTGTCAGGAATGCTATACAAAGGGATAAAAAAGAAAGAAGGATAAGCAAAGAGTATGAGTGGAATATTTTAGATTGGATGGACGGGGGTGTGTAGCTATGTGAGGAGAGAACAAAGTCAAGAGAAAGAGTCAAGTAAAGATGGAAAAGAAAAGGCACATGTTACAACAAATATGATGGTCCTTCTCAGAGACAAACTTGGTACATTTGACAAATAGAAGAAAACAAACAGAAAGACTGGGACATAATAAGAAAGGAGAAGAATGTTTTGAGGGGAAGTCACACATGAAGGAATGAAAGAAATCATGCCGGCCTTTAAAAAATAGACTTACCTGTAATGGCAAATTACATATAAATAAAGGATTTGATTTATTTTGACTTTATAATGTTCAAATTGTACTGCTTTACAGAGAAACGCGCTAGGGAAAAGAGAAGAAAGGGTATTGTTTATGGCTACTGATTTACTCCAAGGAATGCAGTACATGTAGTTCAACCATAAAAAATTAGGGTTTTGTGATTTATCAGAGCCACAGTATAAGTGATGAGACATGGTTGAATTTAAGAGATATACTTTGAAAATAGAGTTGTAGATGAAGTTTAAGCTGACGGCTTAAGGGTAGATGGTCAGTCTAAAATAAATCAAAGATAACTAACTTAATTTGGATTTTCCCTAAAAGCAGACCCTGAGAAGAATATTAGAATTTCAGATTTTTAATGAATTAATCTCATAAAAGATATGTGAAGGAGTGAAGACAGTGAGACAGAGAAGGAAGACAAGGCAATATAAAGATATGCTAATCTCGGAAACTGATTCTTTTGAGATCTCTAGGGGAGTGTTTAGAATGCTTTTTTACATATCTCGTATAGCCATATAAAAGACAACACTGGGCAATTTACTTGCCAGCTTTTCTTCCTAGTTTATGAGCAATGGAACTTTTGAACATTTAATTCTCCTCTATACACACACTTCTAAGCTGTGCTTATTGTGGTCAAGTTGCTACCAAAAGCAATCTGATTAGTTTGATATTTGGGACATCAATATTGGGTAAATAGCAGGGGAGGATGAGATGTGAAAGACACAACCTGGCCAACATGGTGAAACCCCATCTCTACTAAAAATACAAAACTTAGCCAGGCATGGTGGCATGCACTTGTAACCTTAGCTACTCAGGAGCCTGAGGCAGGAAAATCTCTTGAACCCAGGAGGTGAAGGAGGTTGCAGTGAGCCAAGATCGTGCCATTGCACTCCAGGCTGGGCGACAGAGCGAGACTCTGTCAAAACAAACAAACAAACAAAAAACATCAAGTAGGCATTCATTAAATATTAGTTGTACAACACGATGCTTAAAACCACTGACTGGTTAGCTATGCTAAAAGCTGATGGAACATCAAAATGTGAGAAAGTAAAAGTAGGAAGCATGGCCAACTTGCTTGAGTATTTTTTCTACAGTATAGAACAAAACAGAGCAGTAGCTAGAAAGCAAGGGTTGAATTTTTCATCAAGAATGTTACAGCATTCATTATATCTTCAGAAATGTTAAGAAGAGAGAGAGGAAACCAATAATGTAGTACAGGAGTTAATTATAGGAGAAGCCATTCAGTAGGTAAGAGATAGAATACTGTTACCAATTATGTCCCATACTTCTAATAAAACTGGAATGAAGGCAAAATTTGTAAGTAAGATTCAGAATTTGTAGGTAAGCTAAGCTAGTAAAATTTGAGGTGGGGGAATAAGATTGTAATGTTACTGGGTTTATTTTCTTAGTGAAATTAAAAGCATGGTCACATGTTACATTATGAGAGAAAGGAGAACTATTTGAAGTAAAAACGGGTAAGAATTAATGACAGTCAACACCCCACAGAGCCAGGAAGATCAAAGAAAACCAAAGAAGACAAATATCAAAATATCTACTTATAGTCGTTTAATATTTAAACTGCAGAAAACCAGTGACACAGAGAAAACCTTGATTGAAATCAGAGGAATAAAATGAATATAAATATACCTTACCTACTGAGTAATAATAAGACTTAGAGTAGACTTCTTATAAGAAAGCATGAAAGCAAAGTAAGAGTAAGCAAAACATCTAAAGTGTTGATAAAAACAAACAAAACATCCAAACCATCAAACTAGAAGTATATTTCCAATGAAATTATTATTCTATAAACCAGCATGGCACATGTATACATATGTAACTAACATGCACTTTGTGCACATGTACCCTAAAACTTAAAGTATAATAATAAAATTTAAAAAAGAAAAATAGAGTTTTTCAGACATACGTGCACATGCACATACACACACACACTCACAACTGAAGGAAATCATCACCAGTAGAACTTCTCTGCAAAGATGTTGATAAGAAGTTCTTTAGGGAGAAGAAAAATGACATAGGCCAGAAACTCAAATCTATCAAACAAAAAAGCAGCAGAGAAAGAAGGTAAGTGAAGAAAAATAAACAAAGATGACAATTTTCTTATTCTTAATTTATCTGAAGGATAACGCTGTTTGTAAGGTAATAACAGTAACAATGTATTGAATGATTAAAGCATACAAATAAATGACATAAATGTGACAATAATATCTTCAATGATGAAAGGGAAGAACTGGGAATTCCTTGATATAAATTACCTTCATTATCCATGAAGTAGTATAATGTTAATTTATGATGAAATAAGATTTGTCAAACATGTATATTGGACATTCTAGAAGAAGTATTACATAATTTTTAAAATGAGTAAGATTAATATGCTACGGGATAAGATAAAATGGAGTCATAAAAAATTACAACCAAAAAAGATAAAAACTGAAGGAAAAGAAAAAAAGAATAAATGTGACTAATAGAAATCAGTTACAAACGTATTATATACTAAATATTTTCATCTAAAAATCTACATAAAATTATAGCTCAGAGTTAGTCTTAATGTTAAGACCAAATTCATGCATGTAAATTAATAGATAATCTGTTAGGTGGTTGGCAGATCCCCGGATTTAATACAGAATATGTCCAAACAATCTAATTGTAGTACAGATGTATGAAAGAATTTCACTGAAAGTGTAGGAGAAAAAGTTGCCTAGCTAAATAACTAAAAGGAAAAGAAACTGTTCATAAGAATTGTATGTAAGCACTGGACTCTTCTCAATAAATCACTTCATGTGGAATTGGGTTAACAATTCTGAAATGCTTATACAAGTATACTGGAAAGGAGCAATTTGGTAAATGAATGGGGGAGGATGGGAATTAGATAGCTGACTGTTGGAGGAAACAGCTCCAGATAAGCAAAAGGAAGATGCTAGAATGATCCATGTAATAACATTAGAATCATCGGTATGAACTAATGCTTAGCTTAAAATTGATACAGATGATTATGTATAAATTTATACATATGCGTGTATACATAGATTAGTATACATACATACATTTCCTATTCTATCAACTGAAACTAACAGTAACAAACCCCCAGAAGCAAGAAGTACACCTAACACTAAAATCTTCATTTCTATTTTATTTATTTATTTATTTATTTATTGCAGTTGGATCTCTCTCACCCTTGCTGGAGTGCAGTGACATGACCATAGCCCTCTGCAGCTTCAACCTCCTGGGCTCAAGGGATCCTTCCACCTCAGCCTTTCAAATAGCTAGGAATACATGTGTGTGCCACCATGCTTGGCTATTTTTTTTTAAATTTTTTGTAGATATGAGGTCTCCCTGTGTTGGCCAAGGCGGTCTCAAACTCCTGGCCTCAAGCAATCCTCCCATCTTGGCTTCCAAGAAGTGCTAGGATTACAAGCATGAGCCAGTATGCATACCCTAAAATCTTCCTGTCTAATGTCATTCTCCAATAAAAGGAGATAGGATTCATTGAAGAAACAGCTGATTCTAGGACTAGGAAAGAAAAGATACAAGACAAGCTGGTGCATTTCAGAGTGCCATAATGTAAAGCATGCTCAAAACACACCACACACACACACACACACACACAAATTGATTTTGATATGTCAAAGGTACACAGGAGCCAACTGAAAGAGCTCCCATTGTCTACATCTGAAAAAAGTTGAAGAACAAAATAAAATTGTATTAAAATATAACCCATAATATAAAATATATATCCATCAGTTTATACTGATATAAATAAATAATTCAATAAATAAATGAATGGAAGAGAAGAAACAAATCTCCTATGCAGAAGAATCTCAAATAATTTAGGCAGCTCTCAAGAAAGTGGAACATAACTTTAATTATTAGGTGTGAGCTAC